>NC_000012.12:71702552-71854067 GCF_000001405.40 Homo sapiens | reverse complement strand
AATAGGGGATGCCAATACAGCTAGAGTTCACAGGAGAAAGTACCAGAGAAAAGAGAAGAACACACAGGGAACTCAAGAAATCTGCAGTCTTCCTCGAGTATTCAGCAGAGTATGGAACAGTGCATGTTTGTCAGTAAACTCTTCAAGGCGAGAGGGAAACTATTAGAAGAAACTATCTGCAGGCTCACATAACTGTTTGCACCAGTCAGAGTGGGAAATCTCATAATTCACAAAGCACTCCCTTGCCTCATCAGTGAGGCAAAATTAGTTCTATACTAAATGCAGTGCTGATACCATTTAGCAAAGTTTAAAAGCAAGACCCAAAAGTACCCAACTGACTCCAAGCAACTTAAGTGCCTTCTAACACAAAACTCAATAGTATTTTACAGAACACAAAAATATCTAGCACCCAAAAAGAGAATTCAACATATCTGACATCCAGTAAAAAATTTACCACTAAGGCATGCTAAGAGCCAGGAAAATATGACCTATAACAAAAAAAGTAATCAATTACAATTGACCACAAAACAACACAAATAGTAGTGAAGGATATTAAAGTATTATTTTAAGTCTATCCCATATGTTCAAGACACTAAAGTCACAACTCGGCCAGGTGCAGTGGCTCACGCCTGTAATCCCAGCACTCTGGGAGGGTGGTATGGTTTGGATCTGTGTCCCTGCCCAAATTTGATGTTAAATTGTAATCCCCAATGTTGGAGGCAGGGCCTGGTGGGAGGTAATGGAATTATGGGGGCAGTTTCTCAGTTTAGCACCATCTCCCTTGGTGCTGTCATGTCAATAGTGAGTTCTCCTGAGATCTGATTTTGTTTAAAAGTATGTGGCACCTCCCCTCTCTCTATTCCTCCTGCTCTATGTGAAGTGTTGGCTCGCTCTTTGCCTTCCGCCATGATTGTAAGTTTCCTGAGTCCTCCCTAGAACCTGAGCAGATGCCAGCACCACACTTCCTTTACAACTTGAAGAACTGTGAGCCAATTAAACCTCTTTTCTCTATAAATTGCCCAGTCTCAGATATTTCTTTATAGCAGTGAGTATTGACTAATACAGAAAATTGGTATCAGAAATGGGCATTGCTATAAAAACACCTTAAAATGTGGGTGCAGCTTTGGAAGTGGGTAACAGACAGAGGTCAGAAGAGTGTGGAGGGCTCAGAAGATAGGAAGATGAGGGAAAGTTTGGAATTTCCTAGAGACTGGTTGAACGGTTGTGACCAAAATACTGGCAGTGATACGGAGAGTGAAGGCCAGGCTGAGGAGGTCTCAGATGGAAATGAGGAACTACTGGGAAGTGGAGTAAAAGTCACTTTTGCTATGTCTTAGCAAACAGCCTGGCTGCACTGTGCCCCTGCTCTAGGGATCTGTGGAACTTGGAACTTGAGATGGATGATTTAGGGTATCCAGTGGAAGAAATTTCTAAGCAGCAAAGTCTTCAAGATGTGGCCTGGCTGTTTCTAACAACCTATGCTCATATGCATACGCAAAGAAATGACCTGAAACTGGAACTTATATTTAAAAGGTAAGCAGGACATAAAAGTTTAGAAAATTTGCATCCTGGCCATGTGGCAATAAAGAAAAGCCCATTTTCAGGAGAGGAATTCAAACTCACCGCAGAAATTTGCATAACTACCAGAAAGGCAAGTGCTGATAGCCAAGACAATGGGGAAAAGGCCTTGAAGGCATTTCAGAGACCTTTGCAGCAGCCATTCCCATCACAGGACCAACGCATAGGAGGGAAAAATGGTTTCCTTGGCCAGGCCTAGGGCCCTGCTGCCCTGCACAACCTCAGGACACTGCTCCCTGCATCCCAGACACTCCAGCTCCAGCTGTGACTCAAAAGGGCCCAGGTAAAGCTCAGGCTGCTGGGCCCTTTTGAGGCCCACAAGGTGCAAGCTATAAGCCATAGCAGTTTCCACATGATGTTAAGCCTGCAGGTGCACAGAATGCAACAGCTGAAGCTTGAGAGTCTCTGCCTAGAATTCAGAGGATGTATGGAAAAGCCTGGTAGTCAAAGCAGAACCCTGATGCAGGGGCAGAGTCCTCATGAAGAACCTCTAATAGGGCAGTGAGGAGGAGAAATGTAGTATCGGTGCCTCCACAAGAGCACTGCCTAGTGGAGCTGTGAGAAGAGGGCCACTGTCCTTCAGGCCCCAGAATGATAAATCCACCAAGAGCTTGCACTCTCAGCCTGGAAAAGCCACAGGCACACAATACCAGCCCTTGAGAGCAGCCACAG
Organism: Homo sapiens; assembly: GCF_000001405.40. Lineage (NCBI taxonomy): Eukaryota > Metazoa > Chordata > Mammalia > Primates > Hominidae > Homo > Homo sapiens. Next base: position 71,851,817 of record NC_000012.12, on the reverse strand, counting down.
GGGCTGAGCCCTGCAACGCCACAGGGCAGAGCTGTCCAAGGCCTTGGGTGCCCACCCCTTGCATCAGTGTGCCCTGGGTGTGGGACATGAAGTCAAAAGAGATTATTTTGGAGCTTTAAGATTTAATGACTGCCCTGCTGGGTTTCAGGCTTGCATGTGCCTACAGCCCCTTTCTTTTGGCCGATTTTTCCCTTTTGGAATGGGAGTATTTACCCAATGCCTATAACCCCATTGAATCTTGGGAGTAACTAACTTGTTTTTCATTTTACAGCCTCACAGGTGGAAAGGACTAGCCTTGGCTCAGATGAGACTTTGGACTTCTGATTTAATGCCGGAAATGAGTTAAGACTTTGAGGGACTACTGGGAAAGTATGATTCTACTTTGAAATGTGATAAGGAAATGGAGATTTGGGAGGGGCCAGAAGAGGAATGATATGGTTTGGATCTGTGTCCCCACCTAAATCTCATGTTGAATTACAATACCCAACGTTGGAGGTGGGGCCTGGGGGGAGGTAATAGTGGGGGTGGTTTCTCACGGTTTAACACCATCCACTCTTGATGCTGTCATCACAATAGTGAGTTCTCATGAGATCTGGTTGTTTAAAAGTGTGTAGCACCTCCCCCTCCCCCTTCCTCCTGCTCTATGTGACGTGTTGGCTTGTTCTTTGCCTTCCACCATGAATGTAAGTTTCCTGAGGCCTCCCAGAAGCTGAGCAGATGCCAGCATCATGCTTCCTGTACAGCCTGTAAAACTATGAGCCAATTAAACCTCTTTATCTATAAATTACCAAGTCTCAGGTATTTCTTTCTTTTTTTTTTTTTTTTTTTTTTTTGAGATGGAGTGTTGCTCTGCCACCAGGCTGAGTGCAGTGGCACAATCTTGGCTCACCACAAGCTCTGCCTCCCGGGTTCAAGCGATTCTCCTGCCTTAGCCTCCCAAGTAGTTGGGACTATAGGCGCGCGCCACAACACCTGGCTAATTTTTGTATTTTTAGTAGAGACGGGGTTTCACCATGTTGCCGAAGATGGTCTCGATCTCCTGACCTCACGATCCACCCACCTCGGTCTCCCAAAGTGCTAGGATTACAGGCGTGAGCCACTGCGCCCGGCCTCAGCTATTTCTTTATAGCAATGTGAAAACTAATACAGAGGCCCAGGTAGGAGGATCGCCTTGAGGGCAGGAGTTCAAGACCAGCCTCGGCAACACAGCTAGACCCCACGTCCACAAAACAAAAAAAATAGCCAGGCATGGTGGCACATGCCTGTAGTCCTAGCTACCTGGGAGGCTGAGGTGGAAGGATCACTTGAGCCCAGGAATTCAAGGTTGTAGTGAGCTATGATCATATCACTGCACTTCAGCCTGGGCGACAGAACAAAAACTCTGCGACTGCCTGTGGCTGTGCAGCCAACCTGCTCAGAAGGAGCTGGGTGGCCCACTGTGCGAACCCCGCCGGCTCCACATGGCAGGTGAAATGCACTGGTTTAGAACTTCTGATGTCTTTCAAACCACTCTAGCCAGTATAGCCCCAGTATTTACCATGACAAAATTTGACAGAGAAATGTTACTTCTTTTGAAAGGAAGAAAACTGAGTTATACCAAGAGTTAGGTCTTCAAGCCAGAGATTTGAGATTTCACTATGTAATGAGTATCACAGCCAGAAATAATATGATTATCATGAGAATGGAGTATTTGAAAGCTGAGATAACTCCAGAGTGTCTTCTGATATTAGATTATCATAATTTAAACTCACAGCGATGGCTGTTCCGGGAACTCTCTTCACAATTGTCTGGAGAGGGTCAACTTGTTAGAAACCCTTTAATTTTTTGAGTTTAGAGCTATAGAAGCACTCCTGCAATACTGGATCAACACCCTTCAGGGGAAACTTAGCCTTTTCCAGCCACTGATCCTCAAGACGCTGGAAGCTTTGGTGGACCCCAAACATTCTTCTATAGACAGAAGCAAACTCCACATTTTACTACAGAATGGCAAAAGTCTATTAGAGTTAGAAACAGATATTAAAATTTTCAGAGTCAATTTTGGAGATCCTGGATGAGAAAGAGTTGCTAGAAGAGCTCTATCAAAATGGAGTGACCCCCGAGTCTTTGAAAAGAGCAGTACTGGGACTGACCATGCAGAGGAGATAGAGTTGCTGATGGAAAACTACTACCGACTAGCTGACGATGTCTCCAATGCAGCTTAGGAGCTTACGGTACTGACTGATGATTCACAAAGTATTATTTTCATCAATCTGGACAGCCACTGTAACGTGATAATGAAGTTGAATCTACAGCTGACCATAAGAACCTTCTCTCTTTCGCTCTTTGGAGTAATGGAAGTTGCTTTTGGAATGAGTTTGGAATCTTCCCTTGAAGAGGCCCATGGAGTGTTTTGACTGATTACAGGAATTATGTTCATGGGAAGTGGCTCAGCTGGAGGCGCCTGCTTTCATTCCTTGGACAACAGCTAGAAGCTCCATTGCCTCCTATGATAGCCTCCTTACCTAAAAAGATTCTTCTGGCAGATAGAAGCGTGGAACAAAGAACAGTCTCAGACCTGATGCACTTGGATCAGGCAGGAGTATCCTAACAAACCATGAGGAACAACCCTATGGACACTGAAGTTTTTTGTTTTTTTTTTGTTTTTTTTTTTTTTTATAATCACAGTTAACTTCTGATACTTTTATTATTTTCTTGTATGGAGTCAGACACTTGAAAAAAATTAATATCTGATGACAAAATATTTTGGCAGTCACAATACTAGAACTTGATTGCATTTCCAGAATTCTGAGTTAAAGAAACAAAGTGTTTGCTTTGTAACAGGCCAAAATTCTATTTCCTGCAAACTTTAAATGCTGTTTTTATAGACATGATGTGAGGCAACAGAAGAACAGACAGTTGTATAGATTTTATTTAATTTATACATAACAAGAAAAGTATAATTTCAGGCTGAATGAAGCCTAGGAGCTTGACAAACCCATAGGAAGCCATAGTTCTTTGTTACCACAGGGAATTACGTCCAAGTGAATTTCCTGATTCTCAGGTGACTAAAAAGCTAGCACTCTATGTATTAACCTTAAAACAAACTCTGAAAGTTTATGCTTTAAAAAACAAACTTTGACATAACATTATTTTCTTAGATTTGGCCCCCCTTTTATATAAGATGAATAAAAATAAATAATTTTTTTAAAAAGACCCAAATGAACTTGTATTAAAAGGATTTGTATCCAGAATATAAAATCCAGGACATAAAAAGAACACTAAAAACTCAGTGACAAAAAAACACAGTTTGAAAAAAAATAAGCAGAAGATTTAAACAGACACTTCATCAAAGAAGATACAAGGACAGCAAATAAGCACATGGAAAAATACTCAACACCATTAGTCATTACAGAAATGTAAACTGAAACCATAATGAAACACTATTACACACCTATTAGAATGGCTAAAATTAAAATGACTGACATTAAATATGGGCAAAAATATGAAGCAACTGGAACTTTCATACACTGCCAGTGGAAATATAAAACACTACACCTACTTTGGAAAACAATTTGGCAGTGTGTTAAAATGCTACACACACAACTAATATATATGATCCAGCCACCCCATTCCCAGGTATCCAATCAAGAAAAATGAAAGCATATTTTCATAAAACACATATACCAATGCTCAGAGCAGCTTTAATTTATTTTATTTATTTGTTTGTTTTATTATTTTTTCGAGACAGAGTTTCGCTCTTGTTGCCCAGGCTGGCGTGCAGTGGCAAGATCTTGGCTCACCGCAACCTCTGCCTCCTGAATTCAAGCGATTCTCCTGTCTCAGCCTCCCGAGTAGCTGGGATTACAGGCATGCACCACCATGCCCAGCTAGTTTTGTATTTTTAGTAGAGACAGGGTTTCTCCATGTTGGTCAGGCTGGTCTTGAACTCCTGGCCTCAGGTGATCCACCCACCTCGGCCTCCCAAAGTGCTGGGATTACAGGTGTGAGCCACGGCACCTGGCCTAAGAGCAGCTTTATTTGTAACAGTCAAAGTGGAAATAACCCAAATGTCTATCAAACACATGACTAGATAAACAAAATGTGGTATACCCATACAATGAATATTATTTGTGGGGTTTTTTTTTCGAGACAGTCTCGCTCTGTCACCCAGGCTGGAGAGCAGTGGCACAATCTCGGCTCACTGCAACCTCTGCCTCCCATGTTCAAGCAATTCTCCTGCCTCAGCCTCCCGAGTAGCTGGAATTACAGGCACATACCACCACACCCAGCTAATTTTTGTATTTTTAGTAGAGACAAGGTTTCACTATGTTGGTCAGGCTGGTCTCGAACTCCTTACCTCGTGATCCACCCGCCTCAGCCTCTCAAAGTGCTGGGATTACAGGCGTGAGCCACCGTGCCTGGCCCAATGGATATTATTTGGAAATAAAAAAAAAACTAATGATACATACAACACCATGAATTTCAAAATAATTATCCTGAATAAAGAAAGCCATACAAAAACAGAGTATATACTATATAATTCCATTTATATAAAGTTCTAGAAAATTAAAACTAATTTATAGTGACCAAAAAATGCTCAGTGGTTGCCTGAGGACACATGGAGTGATGGTACAGTGAGTCACGAGAAAACTAACAGAGGTGGTGAAAACATCATTATCTTAATTGTGTTCATGGGTTCATGGTGTACACAAATGTCAAAGTTGTATACTCTAAATACATGTGGTCTATCATATCAATTGTATCTCAAAAATAGCTGTATAGGCCAGGTACAGTGCCTCACCTGTAATCCCAGAACTTTAGGAGGCCAAGGTGAGCGGATCACTTGAGGCCAAGAGTTCTAAGCAGACGGAGCAACACGGCAACACTCCATCTCTACAAAAAATACAAAAACTAGCTGGGTGTGATGGTGCATGCCTTTAGTCCCAGCTACTCAGGAGGCTGAAGTGGGAGGATCACTAGAGCCCAGGAGGCGGAGGCTGCAGTAAGCCGAGATCACACACTACACTCTAGCCTGGGCCACGGACCAAGGCCATGTCTCAGGGCAAAAAAAAAAAAAAAAAAAGCTGTATAAAAAATAATTTACATAGAAAGTCCATTGTTGTAAACAGTAAAAACCTAATTAAAAATAAATACATACATACATGAGGACATTCTCACTAAAAAGAAAGAAATTAGTCCTGCCTCAAAAAAAAATTAACAATCATACCCTCACTTAGCTGGGAATCAGGTGTTCATAGGAAGCAAAATATATCAAGAGCATTCAAAGACTTGCCACTTGGTGGTGCTAAACTGACTGTATAAAATTCAATTCAACAAACTTTTATGAAGCAATTATGTGCCAGACATCATAAAGAACAGAGAAATTAAAAGGTATTAGAGTTCCTTGCTTGTCTGTACCTGGCAAAATTATTGAAAAGGTAAAGAAGGAATATTCTAAGTGTAAAAATACTACAAAAAAAAGGAGGAAAGTTTTCCTTTTGGGATAAAAATGTCTCATGCCCTCCAGGCTCTTATTTATTCTTAAATATTTGCTAAGATGCCCAAGCAGATAAGTACATTTATAAAACTTCCAATGATGGCCTGCTGAAAGCAACAGAAACTGTATTTTGTTTTTCTCCTCTAGCAAAGGAGCTATGTCAGATATACCTTATTAAAAGAGTTCTGGTGACCACAGCAAACATTTTAGAATAAATTTTCTCACCTCTAATTTAGCAAAAGTTTTAATTAAAAAGCAAAAATGAGGCAGAAAAACAGATAAATTCAACTTTTAGACAGAATGAACTTTTGCACAATCCAACTCAAGAACATCCTTCCTGACACAAAGAGCTGGAAAAAATAAGGAAGTTTCACAATACAGTAGTAATTTTTTATACTGTCCCTACACTTAATACTGAATTTTTACTTATATTATGATTATTATAATTTTTATTTATTTCCAAAAATGGAAGATAAAGGAAAAATTCAACCCAAATATTTTAAATGTAGCAGTAAGTTCAGGGTAAAATTATTGCCCTAAATCATTCTCCAAACTTGGAAACCCATCACCTATCATACACAACATGCATTCTTAACTTTAGCAATTATGTGAACTTACAGGCTAATATAACAACCAAAAAAGGTACAAAAGTTCAGTTTCTTTCAAAACTATTTGGCATACAGATGATAATTTGAGCATATGGTTCCAGAAAGCATCCCCAGGAAATGCGAGACTGAGCATCCTAATGGGCTCCACACCCAAATATCTAAGCACCTACTTGGTATCTCCATTTCAATAAGGCATCTTAATCTCATGTGTTCTATCTAAACCTGCTCTTCTTCTATATTCCCAATTCTGTCAAAGATATCTCATCCACCCACTTATTCTAAATGCTTCTTTCACCATCCAGACCCTATAACCTAAGTCCCTCGAACCTTCTCCTCTGACACTGGCCCCTTATCATTTCTAGCCTAAGTCACTAAAATAACATTCTGATCTCTCTTCTTCTGATCTAGTCACCTTCCAATAATCTGCCTAAGGTGCATAATGTATAACCACTGCCCAAACTAACCTTTACAAAATGTCCATCTGGTTATACCACACAGGGGCTTAAAAATCTTCTGACTTCACCCTTTACCTCTACAGTGAGGCTATACTTCCTGATACTCCCCAACACATAAAACATTTCTGCCTTGGGCCATTGTGAACTCTGTTACCCAAAAGCTTTGTACCTTTTTTCAGGTGTATTCTGTTCCATCTACCTGGAACACCCTTTTATCCTTTCTCTCTGCAAATAACTTCTACTAAATCCTTCAGAAAAGAACATAAGCAATAGCCTGCCCAAATTCTTTGAACTACTCTCCATTCCACTTAATCTGATTTAGAAGTTTCTTTACTCATGCATTCAGCACATTTATGAGCACCAACCACATGCTGGAAATAAAAGGTGTCAGTGGCAAAAACACACACAAGGAAAAGTGTCTGACTAAACTAGCAGTATTATGTAAGCCAGTAAATCAATGTATATAGTAGAGTGTAATAGAGGAATGCAGAGAATCCTGAATGAGGTACCATTTTCAGTTACTTCTTCAATAAATATACAGTAAACGCCTACCATGTGCCAGGTACAGAGCAAGCTACTAGGTGTAAATAAGTAAGATTCAGTCACTGCCTCCACAGCAGTTACAATCTAATGGGATGACAAGAAAACAGACAATTACAACATGTAATTGTACCAACAGGCTGCCACAGCAAGCCCTAATAAATGCTATCTTACCTAGATTTAGGAGGCTCAGGCAGAGTGAGAATCAGGAAAACTTACTTAGAGCGACATATAAACTGAGATCTAAATAATGGCAATTTTAATTAGTAGAGGGTATAGGGAAGCAGAGGATATATGTTCTTAGCAGAGGATATATTTTATACAGAGCAGTAGTTCACTGCATGATTGAAACCCAAATACCAGAGAGTAGAGTCTAAATAGTTTAGAAACAAAAACAGAGACCAGATCAGATCATAAAGGGCTGCATAAGCCATGCTAAAGAATTTAGGAGTTTGAAATTTATCCTGAAGACAGACAAACGCAACTAGAAATTTGCCTTTTCTAAGCCAATAAAGTGGCTGCAGGGCCAAGAACGAACAGCTGCAGTAATCCAGAGAGGGAGAGACTCATGGTTGCTTGAACTAAGGCAATGGTAGTGGGGATGAGGAAAGGCAGATGGCTTAGAAAGATATTTAGAAGATCAAAATGACAAGACTTCATGACTGATTAGATGTGAGAGGTGAAGGGGAGAACAGTCAAGGACAAAACTGTGTAGATGAGGTTATTTACTGAGAGGGAGAACAGAAAGAAGAAAGCTGAGTTTTATTTGGGATGTGTTAATGAGTAATGACTATGGAACTAAAAAAAATGCACAATACAGGTGGTTGTAAGGGCAATACATCACAGATAGTCTGAAGTGAAGAATGTTTTGAGATATAGAGAATGGTACAACTCTCAAGGAAGAGCAACTGGCAGAACTATTATTGCTTCTCAAGGATATTGGTGTGCCAAGCGAAGTCAGATAGGAGACGTGAATAATTTAAGAGTTGGAGGAGATACACAGTCAGCGCTGCAATGAACCATGATCACACCACTGCACTCCAGCCTGGGTGACAGAGCAAGACTGTCCCAAAAATAAATTAACAATAATAATAATAATAATACAAGTCTGTGTTTAACCACCCTTGTATCCAAAGAACTCAGCACATAGGAGGTACTAAAACGTTTGTTGAACTAAAGAATGCCAGAAAAATTTAAAAATAAGACATACTCCTATTATACCCTAGTTAACTACCATGTTAAAAGATCCAGTCTAGGAAAACAAGTCTCCAGGAAAATCTAGATACTAAGAATATTCATCTTTCTAAAGCACAAAAATTTTATAGGACTATGAGCATATTTAAAAAGAATTGGTTAGGGCCAATTTTAAGCTACAAAATAAATTGTTACTAAAAATGACATCACAAATTCTAATTAAGAAAAAAAAACAGCTGATTTCCCTATTGTTTCAAGTAATTTTCTTTTTCATTTTTTGAAACACAGTATGCCCTTCGCCCAGTCTGAACAAGTGGCACAATCTCAGCTCACTGCACTGGTTTCAAGCGATTCTCCTGCCTTAGCCTCCTGAGTACCTGGGACTACAGGCGTGTACCACCATGCCCGGCTTTTGTATTTTTAGTAAAGACAGAGTTTCACCATGCTGGCCAGGCTGGTCTCAAACTCCCGACCTCAAGTAATCCACCCACCTCAGCCTCCCAAAGTGATGATTACAAGCATGAGCCACCGTGCCCGGCCAGTAATTTTCAATAGAAAGAAATTCTAATACACTAACAGGAAAACCTAGAGTGAATGAAGTGTACTACAATAGGATTTTACAACTCTGAAACAAAAGAGCTATTAATGGACCCATTTCTCCCACTCTAATCCCTCCTCATTTTCTTTTTCTTTTCTTTTTTTTTTTTTTTTTTTGAGACAGGGTCTTGGTCTGTCACCCAAGCTGGAGTGCAGTAGCACCATCATAGCTCACTGCAGCCTCCAAGTCCCAGGCTCAGGCAATCTTCCCACCTCAGCCTCCCAAGTAGCTGGGACAACAGGCACATGTCACCACAACTAGCTAATTTTTTTATTTTTCATAGAGACAGGGTCTAGTTATGTTGCCCAAGCTGGTCTTGAACTCCTGAGCTCAAGTGATCCTCCCACCTCAGCCTCCCAAAGTGCTGGGATTACAGGCCTGAGCCACGGCACCTGGTTCCTCATTTTCTCATACCTTCTTGCTTCTTCCTCTTCACTGAATACCTATTATGTGCCAGAATCTATGTTAGGGGCAGATGAAACATTTCAGGATCTGACCTCATGATGATTAGTTCAGTCTACAGTTTCTAATATATTTACTCATTAATCCTCATACCAAGAATAAAGTAGGTACTGTTATCATATCACAGATGAGGATACTGAAGCACAGAGAGGTTAAGTAATTTTACTGAAGTCGCTTGTAAATGTGTGGAGATAATTTCTGAAACTAGTTTGGTTTCAGAGACCAAGCTCTTAACCATTACCTTTTGCTGCTTCCCTACAAGACAGAGATTAACTTCCTCCATCACTTTCCGAAACTCCAAGTTCAAAGCAAGTAGAGTTTTAAGAAAAGTTACATCCTAGGTGGAGACACTGAGAGACTCTAATTCAACAGAGCTGGTAGCCCACCATCTGTACTTTTATTAAAAAGTATCACGAGTGATTTTTGTGAGCCTTGGTTAACATTCACTCCCCTGGATTTCTAAACTAGAACTCTTAGCTAAAACTTGAAGGGAGAGGGGAGATGAATAAATAAACACACACACACATTTTCTCCCCATCCCCTTTCCTAAAGAAAAAAGATTAGGAAGTAGGGAAGCATAAAGGTATCATGTCTTTTTATGTTACATTAACCAGCTTTCATTATTATTATTATTATGCTGACGATAAAAAAGTGAAGAGTTTTCATTTGCTTTTTAAATCAAGAGATTATCAGGTTTGCGCATTAGAAAAATAACTCCAGTGGTGGTGTAGAGAAGATTAAGGGCAGAGACTGTAGAAAAGGAGTAAAATCAGCCAAGAAATCAAGAATAGAAGCAGACTAAAAGCCTGAACTATGCGCTGATAGTAAAGAAGATGCAGTAAATTTAAGAAACCTCTTAAGGTAAAACTGGTAGGACATGGTTATTGATTAGAGAGTGTTATAGGAATGAATGCCTCCAAGTATGTTTAACATGCAACCAGGTGAAAGATGATGCCATTAAACCAGATCTGAACTTACTGAGAGAAGAACAAGTGGGTTTTGTTGGTCATGATAGTATTACTTGGGAGAGGAGCAGCTTTTGGCATGGAAAACTAGTTTCAGTGGAGTGATGGCAATAGATGTGAATTTGCAGTGAATGAGAATAAATGAGGTTATGAAGCAGAATTACTAAATATAAGTCTCACTTTAAGAAGTCAGACTATGAAAGGTAGTGGCTGCAAAGAGTGAAAAATGTTTTTCATTTCACAACTCTGCTTCATTGCCTCAAGGATTCTTTCAAAATCAATCCAAACCTGAAAGAGGGAGATGTTTAAACGGAAGGGATCCCCTCTTGAAAAGTCCCAGCCTGGATCAGTTTAGATGGAAAATCAAACAGGATAATCTTCAAATACGCAGTAAGTCAAGCAGTATATCAGCATCCACCCTGAATATAAAAAGAAAAAAACTGACAAGACAACCAAGGAGCACGAATAATCCAAAAAAGGATGCCCACCTATCCTTTAAAAGAGCCAGTAGGTACAAGTGTGTAATTTTATGTTTTTTTAAAAAAAAATTTATATAACCCTAACAACTCCAATACAAGAAATAATGATTGGCATCTCCTCCATTCTACAGATAAAGAACGCGAAAAGACAAAAGTCACAATTGCCCAATTTTCCAAGGTCATACTTCAGATTAACAGCAAAACCAAGCCCATATTTGTCATTCAGCCGCCTAGTCTAATACTCCAAACACCAAACCACAAACGCTGTCAAATAATTCAAAATGGGGTAGGGAAAGCAACAGGGAGACATGAGTGAAACTCAAGGAACAGAGGACGCTATCTGCAATGAGTAAACAACCATTAGTGTTCGATGAGTCACTTCAGTTGATTCCAGCTGTTTATGAAATACTCCTGCACTGGGAAATACTATCGGTGGCATATCATAAAGCTGATAGCCCTAACTATGCATAAGATGTGCCCTCGGAACGCGAATAGGCACTATTCGACGAAATCTCCGCACGTAATTCTAGTTTCCAACGAAATTAGGCGTGTCACTGACCACCTCCGTAAACCAGCATGACCAATACTCCTACTGAAATGCCTAGGAAATAAATATTTGGACGCCTTCCTAGACAAGCACAGGATGGTGTAAATCTCCATTTCTCTCAGGAAACACGTCCTGCTGCTCACAACCACCAACCAACTCAGCAGCTTGGTAAAAACAGACCCAATACACTCGTTTCTTCTAAGCGCACAGCTAGCTGCCTAGCATCTATTCAGCTCCTCCCGAAGGAAGCATAAACATCTTCACCAAACTGTAGCAAAGAAGACAGAGGCAAGTCGGGTTAACGCTTCAAAGAGAGAAAAGACGCTGGAGTCAGAAGAGTAGACATAAAGAACTAGAGTCAAGAAACAGTGAATCGGGGGAAAAAAGGAACTAGAGAGCCACCTGTCCCTTAGTAAAGGTAATACGAATAAAAGCCTCTCTGCTCTGGGGCAGAAGAGCGCCGAGGCCTAGCTGGCCTTGGAGCAGTAGCCGGCTCTATAACTCCGCGGCTGAACTGGCATTCTCGGGAAACCAGCTGGTACCACCCAGTCTTCTCCTACAGACGCCACGGGTTGTCCGGACACAGAAAGTCCCTCGTGTCCCTCCCCCAACCAGCTGCCAGGGAGCAAAAGCATCCCCGTCCCAGAGAAAAGCCGAGGTCTTCCTGGAGGCCGTTACCTACCTTCCCGCTCACAACACCCGCCGCCGCCATGTTTCCTGCGCGTGCCTGGTAATGACGTAGCAGAACCTCACGTGTCTCTCGGACATACAACAACATCCGGCAAAACTAGAATAACATCCGGGCGGGAAAAGGGCGGGGAGTGGCGGGAAGGGAGTGGAGGAAAGGAGCCGGGCGGAAAAAAGCCGCCTGACGCGTGCGTGCTGAACTGGGCTCAGAGACGGCTGGGGTGGAGTCTCAGGCCTAACGCTACGCTTGTGCTTGCCCCACGTCCTCCCCAAGGAAGACTGCTAAAATAATGTGTACCTTACTTGTATTGGAGTTTGTCGAGACTCTGAAGCTAGCGCAGGCCACGCCAGTTTGGTGAGATGAAACGAATACCATACTGGAAGCCAGCAAGATTTGTCCTGGTTTTTTGTTGTTGTTGTAGAAAAGGAGTCTCGCTCTGTCGCTCAGGCTGGAGTGCAGTGGCGCGATCTCGGCTCATTGCAGCCTCCGCCACTCGGTTCAAGCGATTCTCAAGCCTCAGCCTCCCGGGTAGCTGGGATTACAGGCGCGCGTCAAACGCCCAGCTAATTTTTAAATTTTTATTAGAGACGAGATTTCGCCAATGTTGCCCAGGCTGGTCTCGAACTCCTGACTTCAGGTGATCCGTCCGCTTCAGCCTTTGCCCAGAGAGCTGGGATTACAGGCTTGAGCCACCGCGCCCAGCCCATTAGCCTGGTTTTGTGGCAGTAGGCAAATCACCAGTGCACTCGAAACCTCAGTTTCTTATAGTAAAATCAAGATAGTGGCGTTGCGGTGAAGATCCAAGAAAGAGCAGCACTAACATGGAGATATCCCAGGCACTATACATGGAGACTTTTCCCCTCTGTATATGAGGTTTCTCTATTTGTCTGGTCACTGCCACTCACACATGACCTCCAGCAAGGTATTTCGATAGGAACTGTGATAATACCACGCCCTCATAGCTGCAGAGCCCAAGGCACATAGTTTATAGCACCTACACATTACTTATTAGCTCTGTGACTTAAAGCAGGTTTCTAAATTTATCAGAGCTTCAGGATGTAAACTGGGAATTACTCCTGCATGGAGTGGTTGTAGGGATTTCATACGACAATACATGTGTGGTAAAATGATTTGTAAAGATACTAAGGTAAGAATTTTACTTGTTCTCAGTGCTGTAAAAGAATGCAGAGAATGATTATATACTACCCCCTTGATAACTCTGGCACAGATCTGGGATTTCCCTAGCTCCGGGGCAGAATAAAAAGTCCCTTTCACCAAAAACACTTGTGTCCATTGAGGTACTTCCGTCTTCACACAGTGGAGAGGGGTTAGAGGCTTTTGAGTTTGGTTGAGGTAGGTGGCAACTAGCTGAACGACAGAAAAGGAGAGTTGCCGGTTATGTGACTACCAGGAACCTAATAGGTGAGGAAAGTGGTGGAACCTTAGGTGGGAATGAATGCGTAGCATATTAGGGAGATTGCGTGCTAGGTATCTGAGATTCCAACCATGACCAAGACCCTTATGCCCAAGCTTGGCAGGGAATCAAGAAAGCAGCTCACCTACAAGGGATGAATGAGGTGGGAAAATGAGAATATTAGCAGTAATCAGCATTGAGTGAAGACTAGAGGGCCTTTTCCAAATGTACTGGACTGAGACTAAGACCCCTAGAACCTTCATATAATCTTGGGTGTGGAGTGGAAAATCCTACTGATGACCCAAATTACATTTTCCACCAGCTCAGAGCATTGGGATGTGGTTAGAGAAAAATTTTAATGTGACATCACATTTCTTACACCCTGTGTTTTAGAGAAAATTTGAAGCCCTTAGCACAGTGCCAGGAATAAAAGGCTCAATAAATGTAGTTATTACTTATATTTTAAAATATAAGTTTGAGAACTACAGGCTTCTCATTGAAAAGCATCATTGGCATCTCAGGTTCATCTGCTACTTCTTGACCTTCTTAAATTTCATCCTACAAGTGTGCCTTAAATAATGGCGCTACCCATGGGCTGGCCTTGGGCCTCTCTTCCTTTTTCTCCAAACACTATTCCTGGGCCGTTATCCTCATATTCTGGCATCAAAATCTCCTATGTACTGATGACTCCCAAATATTCCCAGCCCAAGTCTCTCTTTCCTAAACTCTAGTCCCTGTGTCCACTGCCACTGGACTTCTGACTTGAGTGAGCTAATCATACATCAAAAAAGTATAAGCCTTTACTACTCAAAGTGTATGTGTACAGACCAGCAGCACCAGCATCAGTTGAAAGCTTGTTAGAAATGCAGAATCTAACTGGGCACGGTGGCTCATGCGTGTAATCCCAGCACTTTGGGAGGCCAAGGCAAGCGGATTACTTGAGGCCAGCAGTTCAAGACCAGCCTGGCCAACATGGTAAAACCCTGTCTCTTCTAAAAATACAAAAATTAGCCTGGCGTGTTGGTGCATGCCTGTAGTCCCAGCTGCTCAGGAGGCTGAGCCAGGAGAATCACTTGAACCTGGGAGGCAGAGGTGGAGGTTGCCGTGAGCCAAGATCATGCCACTGCACTCCACCCTGGGCAACAGAGCTAGACTCTGTCAAAAAAGAAAAGAAAAGCAAAGCAGAATCTCAGATCCCATCCCAGAACTACAGAAAAATCTGCATTTTAACAAAAGCCCTGATTTGTGTGTACATTAAACTTTGAGATGCATAGTCTTAAGTGAAACTTTATTTTGCTTTTGTTCTCTGAAAATTAGTACACTTTGCTGAACAAGAGATGTAGCTAGAACAGTTTCTCAAGGAAGTGTTGCTATCATGTGTTACAAATTAATTTGAATCAATTCTCCCATTTAGGAATGGCACAGTTATACATTAATAGAGGAAATAGACCTATTTTCCTTCTTCAATGATATCCTCTGTCTATATGCAAAGGGAAAAAACAAGGTCAGGATTTCAGAAGGGGTTAGTTTCAGGTTTTAATTTTTTACTTTATTAGAGGGAATGATCAGAGTACACTTACATATAGCAAGTGGACAGATTGTTTTAAAGCAGTAGGAGATATGAGATTTAAAGCATATGAGATTTAATGTAAATAAAGTCCTTAAGTTCCCTATAAATTAATGTTTTCATGACAGTAATTTCAGAGCTCCTAGATTCACTCCTATAAACTATATAGTCACTCACTAATTATAATTTATTACTGGCAAAGTTACATAATGCAAAAGAATCTTAATAGTAAATGCCATAAAGAAACCTTAGGCCTAGGGAGGACTTTGAAGATAATCTCCCCAAGTTTTTCAAGTGAAGAAATTGAATGTCTTAGAGTAATACCTTGCAGAAGTCACAAGCTGCTTCATGGCTGAATAGAGACTTCATTCCATATACATGTCTTATTTAGCTGTGCTACATTATCAGCTAAAAGTGATTATTCCTATTTCTGAACTACAGCATTTAATTACTGTTCACTTTGATTCTCTTTCACCTCAGTTTCTGGCTGGCCTATTTGTCTTTTGAGCTTATCCCATGTCCCACTTCATCTATTAAGTTTTCCCCAGCGTTTCCACTAATTGATCTCTACCTCTCCTGAATTCTTATAACAGTTAGACTACAGACTTTTAGTGCTTAATTAATCAAGATAGTACCATGGAGAGAACATGGATTTTAATGACAGCCAAGTGATTACAAGATTCATTTCTGGAGAAATTGACCAACTGAGGAAATCAGACCTTTAGTTACTAACAGTTGGGTGTCCTCATTGAAATTACACAACTGGCCAGCTGCGGGGCACACACCTGTAATCCCAGCACTTTGGGAGGCCGAGGCGGGCGAATCATGAGGTCAGCAGTTCAAGACCCACCTGACCAACCTGATGAAACCCCGTCTCTGCTAAAAATACAAAAATTTACCAGATGTGGTGGTATGTGCCTGTAATCCCAGCTACTCAGGAGGCTGAGGCAGGAGAATTGCTTGAACCCGGGAGGCAGACGTTGCAGTGAGCCGAGATCACACCACTGTACTCCAGCCTGGGTGACAGAGCGAGACTGTCTCAAAAAAAAAAAGAGAGAGAGAGTGAAATGATACAACCACATCATCCTACAGTAAAGATCAAAGTTCCCACCTCTATATCCAAAACTTCCAATCAGCCTCTAGTACCCAACTTTTTTTTTTCAGGGCAGAAGAAGTTGAGGTGCCCAACTATTAAAGATGAACATCTAACCATAGTTCATTCTACATTTAAGAAAATCTTTAATTTGAAAATCAGGGACCAAAACAAACAAAAAAGGTGATTCAAAGCAAATTAACAATGCAGAGAACAGAAGAAAGCTTTTTAACTACAATAAATGTCTTTAGAGAGATAAGAGGAGATTTTGCTTCCACGAAACAAGAATATTCAGAGAACAAAAGTAAGCTGTTAGAAATTAAAAATATGATGCTAAATCTTGTGAAGATTACAGAAGTCCAGGCCACCATGCAGGAGCTGTCCAAAGAAATGTTGAAGGCTGGGATCGTAGAGGAGATGTTAGAGGGCACTTTTGAAAGCATAGAAGATCAGTAAGAAATAGAGAAAGAAGCAGAAATGGAAAGTGACAAAATGCTGTTTGAAATTATATCAGGGGTCTACGGCCATACCACCCTGAATGCACCTGATCTCGTCTGAAATTACAGCAGGGGCCTTGGGCAAAGCAAAGTGACTGCTGTCCTTCTAGAGCCAGAATCTTCAAGAGCGATGGCCGCCTCAGAGGACAAGGAGGAAGAAGAGGCTCTGGAGCCCATGCAGTCCTGGCTGGTTACACTCTGCAGCTAGGGGCTGCCCAGTGGCCTACCTGCTGGGTGCCCACACACTCCCCTGAAGAGCTGCCATTTTATAAATCTCTTGCATTATACTTCTGTCATGAGGACTTGCATTTTAGAAAAGGTTCTGTTTGTCTCTTTTTACTCTCTGCAGAGATTTTGGGATCACAGAGGGATTGTTCTTACACAGGTGGTGTAATTAAATGCACCATTTTTAGGAGTATAAACAGAAATATCTTACTGTGGGGAAGGCAAAGAAATTCATCTTCTCATGAAGTGCTTCTGAAAATAGAAGTCATTACCTGAATGTTGAAGACGACTTTTTTCTGTAAAACACTATATAAATGAATTTTAATAAACTTCTGCCTTGACTCTTGAAAAAAAATGATAATAGGCTGGGTGCAGTGGTTCATGCCTGTAATTCTAGCACTTTCAGAGGCCAAGGTGGGCGGATCACTTGAGGTCAGGAGTTCAAGACCAGCCTGGCCAACATGGCAAAACCCCAACTCTACTAAAACTACAAAAATTAGCTGGGTGTGGTGGCACGTACCTGTAATCCCAGCTACTCGGGTGACTGAGGGAAGAGAATCACTTGAACTCAGGAGGTGGAGGTTGCAGTGAGCTGTAATTGCTCCACTGCACTCCAGCCCGGGCAACAGAGCAAGACTCTGCCTCAAAAAACAAACAAACAAAAAACATAATATATATGAAAAATTCCTAAATGGACTGGAAGGTAAACAGAAAATTTTCCATAAATTAGAGCAAGAAGGCAAAGTTACAGACATAAGGGAAAAAAGTTAAGAAAATTGGTGAATTAAATTTTAACTTTTCTCTGCACCAAAGACAATAGCAGAGGGAAATCCTTGGGTGATAGCTGTGCAGCAGGCATAGAAAGAAGCTAGTTCAAATTGGATCAGGAATTTGGGGTTCCAAGAAGGATGTCACCAAGGGGGAAAATAGACATAGATTACTTAATTAATTTGAGTATACTGAAATATTTACATTTTTGGTGGAGTCTATAGATGAATTGGTGATACGTACATCAAAAACTGAGCAAAACAAAACCAAGACACCTTTAACTACAGGGAAAACAAAAAAGAAAAGAATGTTTTTGTAATATGCACCAAGTCTCAGCTGTGAACAATATTACCATAGTCATAATGACATAAACACCAAATATTGGTCTGATAAAAATGTACAGCAAATACACTGAAAGGAGAGAATGCATCTATATAGTAGGGTTGTGAAAATAAAAGGCCTAAATAATCTTCCACTGTCAATGGACAATTGAGAAATCAAGAAATAACAAGTATGATGATGTCCTTTGGAAGTCTGGAGATAAGTAGAACTAGCAGCAAAACAATTTATAAGTGGTTGCCCCTGATAAGCAGAAACCAGAGTGGAAAGGGAAAAGCTTGCGACTGATCCGTTTCATGATAAGCTTCATATAGCTGTTGTATGTATCAAATCTAAGATGCCACACTTGAAAGGTATATAATTATTTTATTATACTATTATTTTAATGATATTCTAAGAAATAAAATTCTGCCAATTAAATGAAGACATATTTTCTTTCACTTCAATTGTAAAACAATCTGCACTTCAAAGATTATAACATGAAAAAGTATGTCTTAGAATCTGTGAAATACACACACCCAAACATACACAACCCTTGATAAAAATCAAAATTCAAGGCCGGGCGTGGTGGCTCCCACCTATAATCCCAGCACTTTGGGAGGCCGAGGCTGGCAGATCATGAGGTCGAGAGATGGAGACCATCCTGGCTAACATGGTGAAACCCCGTCTCTACTAAAAATACAAAAAATTAGCCAGGCGTGGTGGCGGGCGCCTGTAGTCCCAGCTAATCAGGAGGCTGAGGCAGGAGATTGGCGTGAATCCAGAGGCGGAGGTTGCAGTGAGCCGAGACCACACCACTGCACTCCAGACTGGGCAACAGAGGCAGACTCCGTCTCAAAAAAAATAAAAATAATAATAAAAAATAAAATAAAAATTCAATTTAAAGATAAGCCGTTTCAACAACTTAACTTCACACCTAAGGAACTAGAAAAAGAAGAGCAAACTAAACCCAAAGCTAGCAGAAGAAAAGAAATAATAAAGATCAGAAGAGAGATAGAAAATAGAAAAACAATAGAGAAAATCAGTGAAACAAAGGGTTGGTTCTTTAAAAATAATAACATTGACAAAACTGTAATTGACTAAGAAAAAATAGAGAAGGCTCAGATTACTAAAATCAGACATAAAAATATGGATATTACTACTGATTTTACAGAAATGAAAAGGATAAGAGAGTACTATAAACAATTGTATGCCAACAAATTGGATAACCTGGATGAAATGGTATGCCAACAAATTGGATAACCTGGATGAAATGGACAAGTTCCTAGAAACACACAAACTACTAATACTGAATCATGAAGAACTAGAAAATCTGAATAGACCTATAATTAGTAAGGAGATTGAACCAGTAATCAAAACCCTCCCAACAAAGAAAAGCCCAGGACCAGATGAAGAACACTACCAAACATTTAAGGAAGTGCTAATATCGATTCTTTTCAAACTCTTCCAAAAAATAAAAAAGGAGGGAACACCTCAAAACTCATTCTATGAAGCCAGCATTACCCTAATACACATAGCCAAAAATACTACAAGAAAACTGTGGATCAATATCACTTATGAATATTGATGCAAACATCCTAGTGTTTGCAGAAAATACTAGCAAACCAAATTCAGCAGCATATTAAAAGGATTATACACCATGATCAAGTGGGATTTATTCTTGGAAAAATGCAAAAATGTTTCAATCTACAAAAATCAATCAACATTAAGAAGCCACTTTAACAGAATGAATGAATAAACCACATTATCATTTTAATTGATAAAGAAAAAGCATTTGACAAATTTAAACATCCTTTTGTGATTTAAAGAAACACTGAACAAACTAGGACTAGATGAAAACTACTTCAACATGATAAGGACCACATATGAAAAAACCCATAGCTAATATCATACTCGATAGTAAAAGTCTGAAAGCTGTTCCCCGATACCAAGAACAAAACAAGGATGCCCGCTTTTGCCTCTTCTATTCAACATAGTATTGGGAGTTCTAGTCAGAGGAATTAAGCAAGAAAATGAAATAAAGGGTATCCAAATTTAAATGGAAGAAGTAAAATTATCTCTGTTTTAACATTATATGATTTTATATTTAGAAAATCCTAACTGCACACACACACAACTACTGTTAGAAAGAATAAACAAATTTGGCAAGCTTGAGGATACAAAATCAACATTCAAACATCAATTGCATTTCTATACACTATCAGTGAACAATCTGAAAAGGGAATTAAGAAAACAATTCAATTCACAATAGCATCAAAAAATAAAATACTTGGCTGGGTGCGGTGGCTCACGCCTGTAATCCCAGCACTTTGGGAGGCTGAGGTGGGTGGATCACGAGGTCAGGAGTTCAAGACCAGCCTGGCCAACATGGTGAAACCCCATCTGTACTAAAAATACAAAAATTAGCCAGGTGTGGTGGCACATGCCTGTAATCCCAGCTACTTGGGAGGCTGAGGCAGGAGAATCACTTGAACCCAGGAGGCGGAAGTTGCGGTGAGCTGAGACCGTGCCACTGCACTCCAGCGTGGCAACAGAGCGAGATGCCATCTCAAAACATAAAATAAAATAAAATAAAAACTTAAAAGTAGACTTAAAATAGTTGTACACTGGAAATTATAAAATGTTGCTGAAAGAAATTAAAGACGTAAATAAATGGAAAGATATCCTGTGTTCATGGGTTGGAAGACTTAATATTTGTTAAGATATCAATATCACCCAAAACAAACTACAGATTGAATGTAATCCATATCCATATCAAAATTTCAATGATGTTTTTGGCAGAAATAGAAAAACCCATTCTACAATTCATATGGCATCTCAAATGACCCCAGATAACCAATACAATCTTGAAAAAGAAGAACAAAGTTGGAAGACTCACATTTTCTGATTTCAAAACACAGTACAAATCTACAGTAATCAAACCAGCATAGAATTGGCATAAAGACAGATCTATAGACCAATGGAATACAGTAGATAGCCTAGAAATAGACCTTTGCATATATGATCAAGTGATTTTTGACAAGGGTCCCAATACCATTCAGTGGGGGAAAGAACAATCTTTTCAACAAATGATGCTGGAAAAACTGGCTATCCACATGCAAAGAATGAAATTGGGCCCTTAACTTATATCATATAAAAATTAACTCAAAATGGGCCGGGCGCGGTGGCTCACACCTGTAATTCCCAGCACTTTCAAGGACGAGGCAGGCGGATCATGAGGTCAGGAGTTTGAGACCAGCCTGGCCAACATAGTGAAACCCCATCTCTACTAAAAATACAAAAATTAGCTGGGCATGGTGGCATGTGCCTGTAGTCCCAGCTACTTGAGAGGCTGAGGCAGGATAGTCGCTTGAACCCAGGAAGCGGAGGTTTTGGTGAGCCGAGATCGCGCCACTGCACTCCAGCCTGGCGACAGAGGGAGACTCCGTCTCAAAAAAATAAATAAATAAATAAAACAAATTTAAAAAAATTAACTCAAAATGGATCAAAGGTCTAAACACAGGAGCTAAAATTATAAAGTTCTTAGAAGAAAACATAGGGCAAAAGCTTCACAACATTGAATTTTGCAATGTTTTCTTAGATATAACACCAAAGGCACAGACAACAAAAGCAAAAATACACAAATTGGATATCATAAAAATTTAAAATTTTTGTGCATCAAAAGACACTATCAACAGAGTTAAAAGGCAGCCTACATAATGAGAGAAAATATTTGCAATCATATATTTGGTAAGGAATTAATATCTAGGATATATAAAGAACTCCTAAAACTTATCAACAACAACAAGCCAACATTCAAAAATGGGCAAAGGATTTGAATATATGTTTCTCCAAAGAAAATATACAAACAGCCAAAAGCATATAAAAGATAGCATTACTAATCATTAAGGAAATGCAAATTAAAACCTCAACAAAATATTATCTCATTAGAGATATTATCACCCATTAGAATTGCTACTACCAGAAAAAAACAGAAAGAAAGAAAATATCAAGTGTTGGTGAGGATGTGAAGAAATGGGATCCCTTGGGCAGTGTTGCTGGGAATGTAAAATAATGGTATGGCCACTGGGGAAAGCAGTATGGTGATTCCTCAAAAATTAAAACTAGAATTACCATATAATTCAGCAATTCCACTTCTGAATATATACCCAAAATAATTGAAAGCAGGATAATTCGTATACCTATGTTCATAGCACTATTCCCAATAGCTAAAATGTGCAAGTAAGCTAAGTGACCATTGACAGATGGATAAGCAAAACGTAGTATGCACATGCAACAGAATATTATTTAGCTTTTAAAAGGAATGAAATGTTTATACATTCTACAACATGGATTAACCTTAAAAACATTATGCTGACCGGGCACAGTGGCTCACGCCTGTAATCCCAGCACTTTGGGAGGCTGACATGGGCAGATCACGAGGTCAGGAGTTGGAGACCAGCCTGGCCAACAAGGTGAAACCCCGTCTCTATAAAAGATACAAAAAATTTTAGCTGGGCGTGGTGGTGCGTGCCTGTAATCCCAGCTACTCGGGAGGCTGAGGCAGGAGAATCACTTGAACCCAGGAGGCGGAGGTTGCAGTGAGCCAAAATCGCACCACTGCCCTCTAGCCTGGGTGAGAGGGTGAGACTCTGTCTCAAAAAATAAAAAAAAATTATGCTAAGTGAAGCCAAACACGAAAGTAAAAATATTGTATGATTCCTTATCTGAGGTGCATAGAAAAGTCAAATTCATAGAGACAGAAAGCATAGTGGTTACCAGTGCATGGAGAGTTGTTGTTTAACTCTATCATTTCAGTTTGAGATAATGAAAAAGTTCTAGAAATTGATAATAGTTCTAGAGATAATTTAAAAGTTCTGGATATGGT
Source organism: Homo sapiens (assembly GCF_000001405.40). Taxonomy (NCBI): domain Eukaryota; kingdom Metazoa; phylum Chordata; class Mammalia; order Primates; family Hominidae; genus Homo; species Homo sapiens. Next base: position 71,829,035 of record NC_000012.12, on the reverse strand, counting down.
TACGCAACAATGTGACTGCACTTAATGACACTGAATTGTACACTATCAGAATGTCTAAAATCAAAAATAGCAATAATAACCTCAAATGCTGGCAAGGATATAAGAAACTGAATCAATAATACATTGTGGTGAGAATGAAACATGGTACAGCCACTCTGGAAAATAGTTTGGCAGCATCTTGCTGAACTAAACATCAACGTGAACCAGCAATTTTACCCTTGGGCGTTTATTCAGAGAAATGAAAACTATGTTCACACACAAGCTAATCATGAATACTTACGGAAACCTTACTTATAGTAGCCACAACTTGAAACAACCCAAACATCCTCTAACAGACGAATGATTAAATAAACTGTGGTATATCCATACCACAGAATATCACACAGCAATAAAAAGGAATGAACTGTTGCTACATGCAACAACTTGGACAGATCTCAAGAGAAAGATCCTGAGTGAAAAAAAAAAAAATCCCAAAGGTTACATGCTATATGATTCTATTTGTATAATATTCTCAAAATAGCAAAATTATGGACATAGAGAACAGATTTGTGGTTCCAAGAGTTAGGGATTGGGGATCAAGGAAAAGAGGGTGGGTGTGGCCGTAAAGGGAGAGCACAAAGGAGCCTTGTGGTGATGGGACAGTTCTGTATCTTAATTGTAACTATGGTTACATGAATCTACATATGTGATAAAATTGCATACTCTACACACTACACACACACACAAACATACACAAGTAAGTGAATATAAAATTTTTAAAATCTGAGTAAATTCTTTGGATTGTACAAATGTTAATTTCTTGGTTTTGATATTGTACTATCATTATCTAAGATGCTATCACTGGGAAAAACTGGTTGAAGCTACATGGGATCTCCCTGTACATTTTTTAAAATTATTTAAAAATGTTTCAAAATATGAAAAATTTAAAAACACACAAAATAACTCATAGGTCAAAGAAGAAATCATACTAAACTAAAAAATACTTAGAACTGGATAATAAATGAAAACACTATGATACCAAAACTTGTGAGATGCAGCGAAAGTGGACTTTTTGGGAATTTATAGATTTAAAAGTTTGTGTTAGAAAAGAAGAAAGGAAGACTATTAATGAGTTTAACTTAAAAAAATTAGAAAAAGAACACCAGAATAAACCCCCAAAAAAGTACAAGGAAGGAGATAGTGAAATAAAAGCAGAAATCAATAAAAGAGAAAATCTTAAGAAACAATAGAGAAAAGTAAGTTCAGAGATTGGTCCTATAAAAATATTAACAAAATAAATTTAAAAAATTTTTTCAAGGGGAAAAAAGCACAAATAAGCACTATAACAAATGGGAAAGAAAACATAACTTTAGTTACCCTTGGAAATGAAAAAGATAATTAAAACAACTTTTCAACAACTATATGCCCATACAGTTGAAATAGATTAAGAACTGAGAATATCTTCAATAAGACTGTAGATTACCTACATCAACTTGACTTAGCTGTTTGTTCAAGAAAATTTTACCTGGAAAGCATTATGTTGTAAACAATAAATAACTTCACTGCTTCAGAAAATTCCCACAGATCAATTTTTCTGAGACAATGGACTGCTCACTGTGGCAACTGGCTTGCCGGTATCATCAACAGTTTACTTATCAAGAGTCACTCCAAGACCCTCTCTTCTCTGTGTACACCAATCCTAAATGATTATATCTCAAATTTGCCTAATCCCAATCAGTTCCCTGCCTTGAAAGACTTTGATTCAAAAACTGTATCAATATTCCACTTCTGACTTCCCCTTCTGAGACAGTGCTGAAATTCTGTCAAGGTAGTGTTCTCTTTTATTGCAGTAAGTTCTAGCAACAGCTTTGCTCATATATATATATATATATATATATATATATATATATATATTTTTTTTTTTTTTTTTTTTTTTTTTTTTTTTAAATGGAGTTTTGCTCTTTTTGCATAGACTGCAGTGCAATGGCGTGATCTCAGCTCACTGCAACCTCTGCCTCTCAGGTTCAAGTAATTCTCCTGCTTCAGCCTCCCAAGTAGCTGGGACTACAGGCGCCCGCCACGACGCCTAGCTAATTTTTCTATTTTTAGTAGAGATTGGGTTTCACCATATTGGCCATGGCTGGTCTTGAACTCCTGACCTCAAGTGATCCACCTGCCTCGGCCTCCCAAAGTGCTGGGATTACAGGCGTGAGCCACCATGCCCGGCCCAGCTTTGCTCTTTAGTAACAGGTTTGGTGATGTTTGGGGAGTTCAAAAGGATATATTTCCTCTTTTTGTGAAACTCTTGATATAAAAAATAAAGATCCTAAAGGCTTTCAAATTTCCCCACATATTTACCTTTTCTAGTGCTCTTCATTCTTTCTGATACATTCTATATGGCAAAGCAAGTCACAAGGACTGCCTGGTTCAAGGAGTAAGGAAATATTAATAAACGTCACCTCTTGATTCAGGAAGCTGTAATATCAGTTTGCAAAGAGGCATGCATGTTGGAAGGCATGAAGAAGCGTGGGTATTTTTGCAATCTACTACAGGGATGAGAAAATCATCTAACTCAATCCCTGGCTTTCAGTGGTGAAGAAACCAATATACCTAGGTTAGAGATTAGTTGATTTGCCAAAGGTTACACAACAGTTAAGTGGTAGCACTTCCCTTGAATCTGTTTCTAGATGTTCTTCTTCAGAGCCTCTCTAAGGTGTTTCTGATTCTCACAGTTTGTAGTGCAGTATATTGATATAGTAGATATTTAGCAAATACAGCATTAATGGATATCTACATTTTAAAGGGAAGAGCTAAACCAGTTATTTAGAATATTTTACTCTGATATTCCACTCTTCAATTGAAATAGTCAGATTTATTTGTATAGAATAAATGGTATGAGTATTTGGGGGCTTGAATCCCTTGATTCTCCTCATAAAAGAAGATACAGAAAGAATCACCAAGTATAATGTCTTTAAAATATTCTGATTATTTTATGATTTGAAAGTAACGCAGAGTCAGTGCCACAGGAGCCTTCCTCTCCAGATTGCTCTTTTATTTTTTTTTTTTTGAGACGGAGTCTTGCTCTGGCGCCCAGGCTGGAGTGCAGTGGCACAATCTCGGCCTCCCGGGTTCACACCATTCTCCTGCCTCAGCCTCCTTAGTAGCTGGGACTACAGGCACCCGCCACCACGCCTGGCTAATTTTTTGTATTTTTAGTAGAGACGGGGTTTCACCGTGTTAGCCAGGAAGGTCTCAATCTCCTGACCTCGTGATCTGCCCGCCTCGGCCTCCCAAAGTGCTGGGATTACAGGTGTGAGTCACTGTGCCCAGCCTCTCCAGATTCTTCTTAACCTTTGACCCTATGGGAGCCTCGTGGGTTTCCTGGAGGAAAAGCCCAGGGTGGAGCGGGTAGGGGGAGACCTCCCTTTATGGGACCCTCCAGCAGCTTCACATTCTGGAGCTGGCCTCTTGTTGGCCTCCAGGAATTCATCAAGATTTCTGGTTTGAACTTCCTGGTGGCTGTGTCCCTGTTAAGATGCTGGCCTCCTGACTCATAAGAATGTAAGTTCAGGAGCATATAAACCATCACATTTGAAGACAAAGCTTCTGATAGACTGAGGAAACAAATGTCAGAAGGTCAAGTTTCTTCTCACCTACTTTTAAAAAAAGTGATACATTGTGATTTTTATTTCAACAATTATGTATTTTTCATGTACATATCATTTGTTTGTAATGGTATATATATTAATTTAAAAATTTTAAAATTTTTTATAAGATAATTTCTCATGAACATTCATCATTGTCACTGCATTCTATATTTTTTAAACATTTGTTAAGTAATAATCAACAATCTGTATCTGACAGTTCCAACAACAAAAATCTATGAGTCTAAATCTGTTATTTCTCTGTCTGAAGATGGATTGACTTTTAGTGTATTCGGTATTTTCTGTCTGTGAACCTATTGTTAAATGTTGTCTTAGTCTATTCTGGCCGCCATAACAAAAATACCATAACCTGGGGGATTATAAACCGAAAACATTTATTTCTCACAGCTCTGGGACCTGGAAAACCCAATATCAAGGTGGTGGGCAGATTCAGCATCCAGTGAGGGACTGTTTCTCATAAATGGTGCCTTTTCACTGCATCTCACATGGCAGAAGGTGCAAACAAGTTCCCTCACACCTCTTTTATAAGAACATTAATCCCGAATTCATGAGGGCTCCATCCTCATGATATAATCACCTCCCAAAGGCAACACCTCCTAACACTGTCACCTTGGGGGTTAGTATTCCAACATATTGGGATGGGCACTGTGGCTCACGCCTGTAATCTCAACACTTTATGAGGCCAAGGCGGGCAGATCACGAAGTCAGGAGTTGGAGACCAGCCTAACCAACAGGGTGAAACCCCTTCTCTACTAAAAATACAAAAAAATAGCCAGGCGTGGTGGTGCGCACCTGTAATCCCAGCTACTCAGGAGGCTGATGCAGGACAATTGTTTGAACCCGGGAGGCGGAGGTTGCAGTGAGCCGAGATCATGCCATTGCACTCCAGCCTGGGCGACAGAGCAAGACTCTGTCTCAGAAAAATAAATGTACATATATATATGTGTGTGTGTGTGTGTGTGTGTATATATAATTCCAATATATTAATTTCAGAGGGCACAGTCAGACCATAGCAAATACCTTGTAATCTCACAAGAAACTTTAGAAAGCTTCCTTCCAGGAAGTTAATTTTGCCTATAGTTAGAGTGCAACAGTCAGGGCACTTACAGGCTGCTCTTGGCATTTTGGGCTGGTGCTAGAGTCTGTGGTTCAGCATTCCCAGATTCAGTATTCCACAGCAATGTTGGTATATGGACACAGCAACCATGGCCCTTAACTTTTTGCTCTTTTAGGTAGATTACCTGCTGGTCAGACTTGCTGCTGCTGCATCTTGATTTTCTTTTCTGCAGTCCTGATTCCCCAGACCCAGCCTGTCTTAGCTGCTGTAAACACAACTCAGGTGTGTTTGTTAGTCTGTGAAGGTGGATGCTCCTGGAGAACTCATGCACCTTCTGTGTGATCGGCAGTGCCTCAAATTGTATGGTTTAGTCAGTGTCTAGTTGTGCAGTGCAAGGATCCCTAATCTTTCTTGATTCAATGAGTGAAATTTCCCAGTTATTTCTAAAAAATAACCAACGAAGTACAAATAAATCTGGAATTAGTCCCTTTTAAGAGCTTGAGAGAAATAGGACTAAGTCCAAAGAAGTAACACATATTTTTTGTAAAATGTTTATAAAAATATTTCAAATTTTATTTTAAAGTGTAAGTATAATGAAATTCCTAATATTTCTTTGTGTCCTAAAAGTGCCTTGCTATTCGTTGCTTGAGGATAACTGTGTAAGGTCTAGGAAAACCTGATGATAAGTAAAACTGTTTATAGCCTTAGTTTTTTTTTTAGAACTAAATCTGAATGGCCATTTATTGCACCTGGTAATTCCAGGCCTAATTCTAGCCCTTCCAAATCCTTAATTTTTCCTTTCAATATCCATACTTGTAATGATGGCCAAGATTGAATTAGCTCAACTAACAGAAACAGTTATTGTATGAACAGGATTATGTTGAGCATTAAGTGTTAGGTACAAAGCACTTTACCTAAAAATTGAGTCTTTATCTGGAGAAAACACATATTCTCATAACGTATTTCACTAACACTAATGTTTAGTAGTCAAATAAATTTGGGAAATTCTTATTATACTATTACTCTCCCAAAGATTTACTATAAAAATTAGCACATTATTGTCCTGAGAAATCCTCCTCAGGATTTCTCCTGAGTAGCTTCATGGACTAGCCTTTAGATCTCTCGGTTTCCCATAGGACAAGAGTCCCATAAATGCATTTTGACAAATGCCAGTGTAAAAGAATAATGGAAAATATGTATTGTGTTGCTGATAAAATGTGTTACCCCCGGTCTGATGCGTGAGGAAGTTGATATTTCTTGACAACTCTTCTACGTAGGGTAAATACTACTAATAGGACAAATGAGCAAAAAGCATCATGAGGATGCTGCCTTTAAAGAACCCTAAAGATCTTTTAACTATCTGGTTCTTTTTTTTCTTTTAGACAGTCTCACTCTGTCACCCAAGCTGGAGTGCAGTGGCCCAGTCTTGGCTCACTGCAACCTCTGCCTCCACCTCCCGGGTTCAAGCAATTCTCCTGCCTCAGCCTCCTGAGTAGCTGGGATTACAGGCCTGCCCCACCACACCCGGCTAATTTTTGTATTTTTAGTAGAGATGGGGTTTCACCATGCTGGCTGGGCTGGTCTCAAACTCTTGACCTCAAGTGATCCATCCACCTTGGCCTTCCAAAGTGCTGGCAGGAGCCACTGCACCTGGCCCAAGAACACTTAAAAATCTCACAAGGTATGTTACCTTCCATTTGTAGAATACAGATAAAAACCAAATATTTAAAAATATTGCAAGTGCCGGGCACAGTGGCTCAGGCCTGTAATCCCAGCACTTTGGGAGGCCGAGGCAAGTGGATCACCGTGAGGTCAGGAGTTCGAGACCAGCCTGGCCAATATGGTGAAACCCCGTCTCTTCTAAAAATACAAAAAAATAGCCAGGCGTGGTGGCAGGTGCCTATAATCCCAGCTACTTGGGAAGCTGAGGCAGGAGAATCACTTGAACCTGGGAGGTGGAGATTGCAGTGAGCCGAGATCATGCCACTGCTCTCCAGCCTGGGTGACAGAGCAAGACTCTATCTCAAAATAAATAAATAAATAAATAAATAAATAAATAAATAAATATGAATTTTGTGATGTAGGATAAAAATATGAAAGTTTTGTGGCAAGAACTCAGGTGAAAACTGATGTATAGGTGAGTGGACACATGGGTGGAGATAGTTAGATGTGGAAACAGATCCTACAAAATTGCCCAAGACAAAAGGCTTACATTGCCTAAAAAGTGCCAGGTAAAGTGTGCTATTTTGTTGAAAGCCTGGCCTGTGGATGAGTGAAAGTCTCTCATTGCTGTATCCAGAGCCTAGAGAAGTCAGTCTTCAGTCTGAGCCTTGTAGAGAGATATGCTCCACATAGAGAAGCACTGGCTGATTGCCGAGTCAGATGATTTGATTTTGTCCTGCTCTTAGTCCATCCCATACGAGGACCTCCCTTATGACCCAGATACCTAACAATGTCATGAGAAGTATAGGGGGCCTTGAACTGAGCAAATTCAAGACTCCAGGCTAGGCAGTGGCTCATGAACATGCCTATTACACACACATATAGGAAAAAAAACTCCTTGACCTACTCACCAAAATTCAAGAATCTATCTGACAGGCATGGGGTCTGGAGGATTGAACACAGGAGCCTGGAAGAAAGACTAAGACAATAAAGAAAAGTGAAAAGGTGTCTATTTTATGTTCAAGTGCCTAGGGCAGTGACTTGAAGGAGGTGAGATACAGTCACATGGATATTTAGAAGAAGAGTATATCCTCACACCTATTAGGATGGCTATGATAAAAAAAGACCCCAGAGATAACAAGTGTTGGCAAGGGTATGAAAAAATGGAAAAGAATCTTTGTACACTGTTGGTGGGAATGTAAATTGGCACAGCCATTATGGAAAACATTATGGGTTCCTCAAAAAAATAAAAATAGAACTACCATATAATTTGCAGTCCCTCTTCTGGGAATATAATCAAAGAAAATGAAATCAGTATCTCAAAGAGATATCTGCTCTCCCATGTCCACTGCAGCATTATTCACAATAACCAGAGATGAAAGTAACCTAAGAGTTCTGTCAACAGATGAATGAATAATGAAAATGTTATATCTATCCATCTACACAGATGATAGACAGACAGGTAGATAGATAGATGATAGATAGATAGATAGATAGATAGATAGATAGATAGATAGATAGATACACACACACACACACACACACGCACACACACACAATGAAATGTTATTCAGCCGTTAAAAAAAAAAAAAGGAAATCCTGCCATTTGCAACAACATGAATGGACCTGCAGGACATTATGCTAAGTGAAATAAGACAAACACAGAAAGACAAATACTACATGGTTTACATACACGTGGAATCTAAAAAAGTCAAACTCATAGAAGCCAAGAGTAGAATGGTGATTTCTAGGGGCTAGGGGTGGGGGGTGGGGTTGGAGAGATATTGGCCAAAGGGTACAAACTTACAGTTATAAGAGGAATAAGTTCTAGGGATCTAATGTACAGCATGGTGACTATAGTCAATAGCACTCCATTGTATACTTGAAAGTTGCTGAGTAGATATGAGGTGTCCTCACCACACACACACACAGAGAGAGATAGTAACTATGTCAGGTGAAGGATATGTTAATTAACTTGATTGTGGTAATCATTTCTCAATGTATACATGTATCAAATCATTACCTTGCACACCTTGATTATATACAATTTTTATTTGTCAAGTACACCTTAATAAAGCTTTGGTGTGTGTGGAGGGGTGCAAAATCAAAAGAATTCCCAGGACACCTGGTAAGAAAGCATTAGATCTACCTTGTCCTAGTGGATGTTTTCTGATCTTTTATGCATGTGGAAATTCTTTATTTCCAGGATAAAATGTTTCCTTGGATTAAAAAAAAAAAGAATATGCCACACAGAGGGAAGTCAGTGCAAAGGCCTAAAGTGGGGTTATGTGTGGTGTGTCCAAGTGATAGCAAGTGACCAAATGTGACTGAGTAGAATGAGCAAGGGGTGAACAGAAGGAGGTTTCTTCAGAGAATATTGGGGACCAGACTGTGTAGGACCTTGTAGGCCACTATAGGAATTTCAGCTTTCATTCTCAGGAAGACAAGGAGCTATTATTGGAGGATTTTGAATAGAGGAATGACATGTCATAACCAATTTTGCCCAATCAGAGGCAAAATTGGGACTTGATGTAACAGAAACCAGGAAAATCCATCACCTTCTCTGCTGGATTTGAGTCTGTTGGAATATTGGGTCAGAACTGCTAACCACTATCTCGTTACTGAGTCCAAGAATAAAGTCAAATGGTGGGTAGACTTGGCAGATAGAGCAAGGTCCTGGGGACATTGGACTTCTCAGTTATATAAACCTATAAATTATATATATTTTAAGTGAGTTTGAGATTTTTTTCCAACTGGAACCAAGGAATCCTAGGCAATACAGTAAGGAAATTATAAAACAACTCAAATTACATTTGCTTCAGCCATGTTATTTCTTGGCCATGGAATTTGTCTACTCATTTATGAGTGTAATACAGCAGGAGAGTCTACAGATTTCATTATTGATGTGTAGTTCTTTACTTTTAGGGCATGGGAGCTTTAACAGCCAGAGTGGTTTTCTATGAAGTTATACAAAGAGTCTTACTCTTGGACAAGGAAATCTGAAACCTAGTTCCACTTCTGCCACCTCCTAGAAGGGTGGCTATTCATAGGTTTTTATGTATTACTTCAAAAAAGGTTTGAATAGGGAATCAAAGCCAAGAAGGCTTGACCAAAGAGCTTAATTTCTCTAGGTCTTTGTTTTTTATTTTATAAAATAAGAACACTGAACTACATTGTTCTGTGATTTTCTTCATTGATTCCTTTTTTTTTCTTCTTTTTTTTTTTTTTTAGACGGAGTCTTGCTCTGTCACCAGGCTGGAGTGCAGTGGCGTGATCTCAGCTCACTGCAGCCTCCGACTCCCTCGTTCGAGTGATTCTCCTGCCTCAGCCTCCCGAGTAGCTGGGATTACAGACACCTGCCACCAAGCCCGGCTAATTTTTTGTATTGTTAGTAGAGAAGGGGTTTCACCATGTTGGCCAGGAAGGTCTCAATCTCCTGACCTTGTGATCTGCCCGCCTTGGCCTCCCAAAGTGCTGGAATTACAGGCGTGAGCCACTGCACCCAGCTCATGGATTTCTTTTCGTGATCATCCTTTGTGATGTCCAGAGTTTGGTGACAACTGAACAGAAATAAAGGGACAGTTATTCACTTGCCAAGTTCTCTAAAAGTTTTGCTACTTGGAACACTTAGTATCATTAAGATTTTCTCATAAAATTCATAGCAAAATCTCATTTTATAGAATGGCATTTGAACTAAAATGCCAGTTTTATAGAACAGAAATGATTGCGGCAATCTTACATTTGGATCTGTCAGATGCCCAGAGGTGACGGTAATGTATATCTTAGCCACTTTATGGCAGTTTGTGCATCCTTTATACACCAATGTACCTTGTAAACTTTCAAGTCCCTGTTTAACAGCCTTGCTGGTTTAATAGTGCTCTACTAGCTTTCCCTGATGTGAAAAGTTGCTGAGAAATGTAGTCAATCTTTTTCCTTCTGACAGTTTTCTTGTCCTCCATAGGCTTGCAGGCAATTAGAACACTCTCTCTGATCTCTGAAAGTCAAGACGATATAAAAGAAAGTAAGACAGGACATGGGCGAACTAAGGGAGTAAGAACACAAGCTTTTAAAAAATTTATTTAGGAAATTGGTTTATTTTTTAATTGAGAAACAAAAAGTTGTATATATTCATGGTGTACAACATGATGTTTTGAAATATGTGTACATTGTGGAATGGTTCAATTGAGTTAATTAACATATGTATTATCTCACATACTTATTTTTTTGTGGTAAGAACACTTAAAATCTACTCTCAGGCATTTTCAAAATACCTTACATTATTAATTATAGTCACAATGTTGTTCAATAGATCACTTAAACTTATTCGTCCTATCTAACTGGAATTTTATACCCTTTGGCCAGTATCTCCACAGTACCCTTTCCCCAAACCCTAGTAACTACCATTCTTCTCTCTACTTGTATGAGTTCAACTTTTTTAGATTCTACATGTGGTGAGATCAGACAGTATTTGTTTTTCCCTTTTTTTTTTTTTTTTTGAGACAGAGTCTTGCTCTTGTGGCCCAGGCTGGAGTACAGTGGCATGATCTCAGCTCACTGCAACCTCCACCTCCTGGGTTCAGGCAATTCTGCCTCAGCCTCCCAAGTAGCTGGGATTACAGGTGCCCACTACTATGCCTGACTAATTTTTGTATTTTTAGTAGAGACGGGGTTTCACCATGTTGATCAGGCTGGTCTCGAACTCCTGACTTCATGATCCTGACCTATGTAATACAAGGCCTGCCTCAGCCTCCTAAAGTGCTGGAATTACAGGCGTGAGCCACCGTGCCTGGTCTTTTCCTTTTTTTTTTTTTTTTTTTTTTTTTGAGACAGGGTCACTCTCATTCAGGCTGGAAGGCTGGAATGCAGGGACACAATCTCAGCTCACTGCAACCTCTGCCTCCTGGGCTCAGGTGATCCTCCTGCCTCAGCCTCCTCAGTAGCTGAGACATCAGGCACCCACGACTATACCCAGCAAATTTTTGTATTTTTAGTAGAGACGAAGTTTCGCCATGTTGGCCAGGCTGGTCTTGAACTCCTGACTTCAGGTGATGCACCCACCTCGGCCTCCCAAAGTGCTGGGATTACAGGCGTGAGCCACCATGCCCAGCCGATTTTTCTGTGCCTGGCTTATTACACTTAACATAATGTCCTCCAAGTTCATCCATATAGAATGCAAGGTTTTTTTTAAAAAAAAAAAAGATTTTTCCTCATAAGACTGCAAAGCTTTCTCTTCTAAGGAGTGTGTTCTGGGTTTCTTGAAGGAATACTGCAGGTTTTGTCAACAGCTTTGAGAATGATTATTGTGAAACATCTGCAGTGAATGTCAAACATGAAGTGGTGAGAGGAAAAGGGCAGATGAGGAGCAGGGAAATGTTCTTTCCTTTTTATCTTCATAGTTCATTTTGCCTTTATTGGAAGGAATTTCAGTGTCCTGGAGCTTCTTTGTAGCACTTGCTACATGTTGGTAGGGTAAATCAACTTTAGGATAAGTCAAATTTATCATTAAAATAAAATTTCCTTTTCATGAAATAACCTTTACAACAACATGTTCTGTAAACACAAACCTAAAGTACTATGAAGTCCTAAGTTACAAAATTCCATCTACAGGGATATTGCTGTGCATCAACTTAATAAAGCCTAGAAGTTCTCTAGGAAATAGAGGACCCTTTTCCCTCCCCTTCCCCAATCAAATCCATTATCAAATCACATCTATCTCTAATATATGTCTTGATTCTATTTACTTCTCCCTATCTACACTGCTACCATCCCAGTTGAAGCCATTCACATCTCTTGCCTGAAAGCCTGCAATTGTTTCCTGTCTCCAAAATGTATTTTTGCTCCCATCCAATCCATTCTGTACACAACTGCAAAGCTGGTCTTTTAAAAATATAAACAAGATTATTATCTTCCCCTACTTAAAACCCTCCAGTGGCTATGTATTGCACTTAGAATAAATTAAAAATTTCCTACCATTTCTATGTTATTCTTTCAGTTATTTGTTCCCACCTTGAAGTCTTTGTAGTTGATGTTTGTACTACCTGGAGTTTTCCTTCTTTGGCTCATCTCATGACAGGCTCTCTCTCATTATTAAAACTTCAGCTTAAATGCTAATACCCTCAGAGAAATCTTTCTTGACCACTCTATTTAAAAAACAACTGCCCCCCACCACAAATTTTGCACTTGCTAACACTTTCTTCCTATACTTCCTAGCACTTATCATACTCTCAGATTACCTTGTTTGTTGATTTGTTAATTTCTGCCTTTCCACATTAGAATTGTATGCTTTCAAAGGGCAGAAACTTTGTCTTTCTCACCACTGAATCTGCAATGTCTAAACCAATAAAGGCACTCAGTAAATATTTATAGAATGATTGAATGAATAAAAGTAGCTAAATTTACCTAGAAATATCATAAAAAATGATGAATAGGTCAGGCATGGTGGCTCACACCTATAATCCCAGCACTTTGAGGGGCTGAGGTGGGAGGATCACTTGAGGCCAGGAGACGAAGACCAGTCTGGGCTCTTCACACGCAAATAGCCCAGCGTGGAGGCTTGTTCCCGTACTCCCAGCTACTGGGGAGGCTGAGGTGGGAGGATCAGTTGAGCCCAGGAGGTCAAGGCTGCAGTGAGCTATGATTGTGCCACTGCACTTCAGCCTGAGTGACAGAAACAAAAACAAAACAAAACAAAACAAAACAAAAAATGTTGAATGGAAACAAATATGAGAAGCAAAGAGAGAATCCAAAAGACAATTGTATTTTGAAAACTAGAATTACCACTGAAGCATGAGAGTGGAAGAATGGTACCAGAAATACCACAGCAAATCAGTCAGTGATCAAGGATCATGTACCAGAGTAACATATATCATGGAAAAGAGGAGAATTTGAGATGGACAGGCATTACACAAAATTCATGTTATTCTATTCCATGGTGATGCTTCAGTCTGAGGTTCTTCTTGTTTGTACAAGTTGAACTATAAAAATTGTCTCTGCCAGGGGCCGGGCACAGTGGCTCACGTCTGTAATCCCAGCACTTTGGGAGGCAAGGTGGGTGGATCACCTGAGGTCAGGAGTACTTCCTAGCACTTATCATACTCTCAGATTACCTTGTTTGTTGATTTGTTAATTTCTGCCTTTCCACATTAGAATTGTATGCTTTCAAAGGGCAGAAACTTTGTCTTTCTCACCACTGAATCTGCAATGTCTAAACCAATAAAGGCACTCAGTAAATATTTACAGAATGATTGAATGAATAAAAGTAGCTAAATTTACCTAGCTAAATTCAACACGGTGAAACCCCATCTCTACTGAAAATACAAAATTTAGCCGAGTGTGGTAGCAGGCGCCTGTAATCTCAGCTACTCGGGAGGCTGAGGCACAAGAATTGCTTGAACTCGGGAGGCGGAGGTTGCAGTGAGTGGAGATAGCACCACTGCACTCCAGCCTTGGGCAACAGAGCAAGATTCTGCCTCAAAAAAAAAAAAAAAAATTGTCTGTGCCATAACTGTACAGTGAGCAAATGTAGCCAACATATTAGTGATACTTATTATTTGTGACTTTGAATACTAATGGTGAATTTTACATTATTGTGAAATTTGCACATGTACTGCCTGCTGCACATTGCACAGCTTTAATTTATAACTACCACTTTGATCAGACCCAAAAATGGGATGCCGTTTCTTCTATGACCCATTAATTACTAGATTTTTATTGTTGTTGTTGTTCTTTGAGCAATGCAAAACATTTAAGAATTATTGTATTAACATAACTACAATGTTATTATCATACCTAAACAGTAATAAATCCTTCATAATAATATCCAGTCAACTTTCAAATTCCCCATGTTCATCATTTGGTCCATATTTTGCATGTGTTTATGTCTCTTAAATCTCTTTTAACCTATAGGTTCCTCCTCCCTCTTTATTTTTTTTTCTTACTATTTATTTATTGAAGAAACCAAGACATTTACCTGGTAGAGTCTTCCACATCTGGATTTTACTACTTGCATACTTATAATGTGTTATCTATCCCCTAAACTTAGTGTAACTGGTGAATACATAGAGAGGCTTGTTCAGATTTAGGTTTGAATTTTTGGTGAGGATACGCCATACCTAGTTTTTCTGTATATCTATCAAGAGGCATATATGTCTACTTGTCTCTTTTTGTGTGAAATTAAGATTGCTGGTTTCAGTTGTTGTTACCCTTATCTATTTATTATAAAGTTCTCCATCACCTTTCATCTAACAGTTCTGGCAGCCATTGATGATAACTGTCTGAAGCTATTATTTCATTAGCAGTTGCAAATTGGTGCTACTCTGTCATTCCTTCATTATTTAATAGCTGAAATTCTTCAATAAAAACACTTTCCCTCACGTTCCTGTAGTCCCAGCTACTCAGGAGTCTGAGGCAGGAGAATCACTTGCACCTGGGAGGCAGAGGTTGCAGTGAGCCAAAAATTTTCCCTCACCAACTGTTTAGATCCTTTGAAGTATAGCTTGCTCGAGAAAGGCTTGACTCTTTTACTCTATTAACCAATCTTCAGAATAATGAGTTATTTCCCTGCTATCTTAAAAAGATGACAGTGAGGGTTTTTCCCCCTGTTTTCTGTTATTATTAACTCACAAACTTTAACAGATCAGATGCATTCAAATCCATTGCAGTTATTCTTTCAAAGCTTGGATTGCCCCATCTTGGCCAATGAGTCCCTTCAAGTTGGTCTCTGCCTTCTGACATAACCTTAACTAGTTATTGGTAGCTTCCTTGCTTTCCGGATGTCAAGATGTTCAAGGCTCACCCCTAACCTAAACCTGGAATCAGCATTTTTTCCAAGGACCCTGGGTTCATTTCAGAGTAGAACAATATTTAAAGACTGTAAGCTGGGTGCAATAAGTATGCATTGTTATTTAGTTGGTCAAGATAATTTCTAGGCCTCTTAAACAGACAGAGGTAGGAATTTTTTTTTTTTTTTTGGACAGAGTCTCGCTCTGTCACCCAGGCTGGAGTGCAGTGGTGCGATCTCGGCTCAGGGCAACTTCCACCTCTCGGTTCAAGCTATTCTTCTGCCTCAGCCTCCCGAGTAACTAGGACTACAGGCACGTGCCACCATGCCTTGCTAATTTTTGAAAAGAACATTATGAGTTCACACTGACATTTCGCATTTAAATTTAGGATTACAAGGTTTCTACTGAACTTACTGGATTTTATATTTATATCTTTATCCTATAATAAAAATCTTGGCTCCTAACATCATTACCATAATTACTTATATTCTTATATGTCCTCTAAAATACATACTAGTTTAAGAGAATAGTGTCACCACCTCTAAAAACAGTAAGTCTTTTTTGAATTATTCCACTAGGGAAGTACAATCAAATTACCATGTTTATGTCTTCTCTTCATTTGTTTCATTTTCCTTTCAATGTGGGTATTGGGTATTATTTCATCTGTATTTTTGTTTAATAATTGTGTAAATGATTTATATAATCTTAAATTACTATTTACAAATCAGGACATACTAAAAACATTCTAACTTCTATTTCTGTTCTCTTATTTCTTTTATAGATAAACATTTTTAAATGTTTGATTTTGGCTCCTTTTTTTTAAATGAGAAAATAGGCTGGGCATAGTGGCTCATGCCTGTAATCCCAGTACTTTGGGAGGCCAAGGCAGGCGGATCATTTGAGATCAGGAGTTCGAAACCAACCTGGCCAACATGGTGAAACCCCGTCTCCACTAAAAATAAAAAAATTAGCTGGGAGTGGTGGGTGAGCCTGTAATCCCACCTACTCGGGAGGCTGAGGCAGGAGAATCACTTAAACCCAGGAGGCAGAGGCTGCAGTGAGCCATGATCACGCCATTACACCCCAGCCCGGGCAACAGAGCAAAACTCTTGTCTTAAAAAAATAATAATAAAATAGGTTGGGTGCGGTGGCTCACGCCTGTAATCCCAGCACTTTGGGAGGCTGAGGTGGGCAGATCACTTGAGGTCAGGAGTTCCAAACCAGTCTGGTCAATATGGTGAAACCCGTCTCTACTAAAAATACAAAAATTAGCCAGGCGTGATGGCGGGCGCCTGTAATCCCAGCTACTTGGGAGGCTGAGGCAGGAGAATCACTTGAACCCAGGAGATGGAGGTTGCCGTGTGCTGAGGTCACGCCATTGCCCTCCAGCCTGGGCAGCAAGAGTGAAACTCCGTCTCAAAAATAAATAAATAAATAAATAAATAAATAAATAATATGATAATAAAATGAGAAAATAAAACATGCTATAAGTACAATTCTAAAACTTGCCCTTTTTCACTTAATAATATATCCTGGAGATCACTCCATAGCAGTAGGTAAAGATTGTTCTCATAGAAATTCTATTGAATATTATCATTTCTTATAGATTGGTGTGGAAATTTTTTTTTCCTGTTAGTGGACATGAGCAATCTTGTTAGGTTGCTGTTTCAGTATCATAAGGAGAGCAACAATATCACCTCTCATAAGTTGGTTTCAAAGCTCATAAATACCTTGATCACTAAGTAGAAAAAGAACCACCTCTTTCAAACTTTGAGTTTTATTGCACTTGCCAAATGAGATACATGTCTAAAATATTTAAATTTTATTCAGTTTGTAAACCATTCAATAGTAGAATTTTTTTTTTTTTTTTAGACAGAGTCTTGCTCTGTTGCCTAGGTTAGAATACAGTGGCAAGATCTCTGCTCACTGCAACCTTCGCCCCCTTGGTTCAAGCGATTCTCCTGCCTCATCCTTCCGAGTAGCTGGGATTACAGGTGTGCCCAACGTGCCAGGCTAATTTTTGTAATTTTAGTAGAGATGGGGTTTCATCATGTTGCCCAGGCTGGTCTCCAACTCCTGGCCTCAAGCAATCCACCCGCCTCGGCCTCCCAAAGTGCTGAGATTACAGGCGTGAGCCACCACACCCAGCTGATAGTAGAAAAATGTTTAATACCGCTAATGCCTAGCATTGTGTTTACATAGCATTCAATTAATGTTGATCATAAAATTATAAATACTTCTTCCACTGGGGCCTTCAGTAAACTGAATATATTTTTATTAAGTTATTTTTGTTTATTACAACTCTAATACATAATGAAGTTTTCTAAATTTGTCTTCTTCTAATGAAACCTAAATAACAAAATTTTGTTGCTGTTGTTATTATTTTACTAATTGACCTGTTGTTACTCACAAAAAGGGGTTTTCCACAAACATTATGTGTTAGGTTTTGAATAAATGATACTAATGTTAAAACACATAATCTATTAATCTTCAACCATTTTTCTTGTTTCTGTAGTCACAGTCACATTTTTCATAGGACTGATTAAAAACTTGGCTAAGTAAAAACATGATCTGAATGTTTTCATAATTCTAGTCATAATGATGAATCAGGAAATTGGAGCCTTTGCACACGGAATTAGAGGGTAGTAACCTTCATGTGATGTCGTTTTTATACATCATTTATCTACCAAAAGGAAGCTCTGTAATTCAGCCCATATGCTATTTGAAGAATTATATCCTTTCATTTCCTTCTGTACCTTGCCCAGATCCTAGGCATAATATTCTAGCACCATGATCTAGCTTGATAAACCTGTCTTGATGAAGGTGACTCATTGGGACAATCCCTAAGATAATATAACATGATTATGAAACCTCAAAATGTTAAAACCTCCTTACCTATATTTTTGGCTATTTTAAGAAGAGGAAAAGAGTTGCCACGGCTTTTGAAAGATTATCCTCAGTTTTATGCAGAGCAACACGCTCCTCTATTTTCACCCCTACATCTTATGTACTCCGAATATGAAGAGGAACAAGGCTATTTTAGGTACAGTGTTTCATTTACTTGGTGTTTCCTTTTATTTACAAATAATATCCTTGAATGTGCCCTAAATATTAAAATTAATTAAGCAGGAAATATTTTTCAGGTTGTCCAAATTAATAGTATGAATGTCCTATTTCCAGAAAAGTTCTACTAAATAGCCATTGTAACAGAACATGAGCAGCAGTGGACCCAGGAAAACTCTGGAGTGGTTAGATTCAGAGCAAATCAAATATTCCAGACTAATTCAGATATAGAATATTAAGGGTTATGATCTCTGGGACCTATTTCGACCCTGAGAGATCTTGATTAGTAAAATTTAAAAGTGGTAAGTTCATAAGATCTGGTTTCTCAGATACAGAAACCTTGAATTTGCCATGCTCTCTCCCAACCCAGGCTTTGTTTCACTTTTGTCAAATTCATCAATAACTTCCATATTGCCAAATTAAGTGGCCAGTTCTCAATCCTCATGTTACTCAACCTATCAATAACATTTGGTTCAATTGATTATTCCTTTCTCCTTGAAACACTGTCTTCTTTTGGCTTCCCAGAGCACCCCACTCTCCCATTTTTCTTCCCACCCAACTACCCATTCCTTTACTATCTTCAGCAGATGCACTCCTTTTCCCAATGTCCAAATGCTGGAGCTTCCCAGTGAATCTCTAGTGCTCTTTTCTAACTACATTCCTTTCTAAGGGAATCTCATCTAGTCCTATGACTAGACTATCTGTACATTCTGAAATTTCCTAAGTGTAGTGCATCTTATCAAATGTAAGAAGTCATCAGTTGTTAAACCTCACCATTACTTTACTTAAAACTAGAAAAGGAAAAAATGCTGCCAATTATTAACTTAATGCCTTAATGATAATTCTGCATGATGAGTAAATCAATTACACCATCTTTATGTTATTTTGACATTTCCCTCATCTGCTCCAGGCAATTTGTTAATTTCTCCCACCTTCAGCTGTATGACTTGGCATGTGATAGGCAATTGGACACGTATCTCAGTGCACATATTTCAGCGCATAGCTTCATCCACTTGTGGGTATCTTGATCTCTGAGATCACCGTAAAGTCCCTAGTTGTTGCTTTGTGGAAAAATATGGAATTATGATTGATCCTCTAAGAGCAAATATCTATTCAATGATATTGATTTTTTGCTTCATTGATTTGTTTGAGGCTTTTCTAAATAGCAAATGAATTTTAGTTTCACTGATGAATCATAGTGTACTTTTAAAAATCTACTTAGTGGCAATTAAAATCAACATGTGTAATACCAACAATATACACAATTCAGTTGAAATGATGACAATATAGCAACTATGACCAATTTATAAATAGTCAATGAAATTACATTACTATCTCAATGATGGTGATTTATAATCAGAAGATGCCTCCTAACTTCTAGGAACATATGTATGTCTTCACATTAATGAAATAAGGTTTATTTCCAGAGCTAACATTCACTCCATTGCTCAGGCCAAAAACCTTGTAGTCATCCTAAATTTCTGTTTCTCTCATGTCCTAATCCTTATCCTCTAATCAGAAAATATCATCTCTACTACCAAATATATTCGGAATCACCACTTCTATCACCAGCATCCTAATCCAAAGCACCATAATATCTCACCTGTACTACAGCTGTTGCTGCTTTGTTTTCAGGTTTGCCTACCTAAAGTCTATTTTCCACATATGGCCAGAGTGGTCCTTTTAAAATATTGTAATGCCTTTGCTCAAAAATCTCCAAAGACTTCCCATTCTACTTAAATAAAGCCCTAAATTCTTACTATGGTCTTAAATGATCTCTCTCTCCAAATTCATCTCCTATCACTCTTCCTCTTGTTTTCTGGTTGAAAACCACATTGTTCCTCAAATATTTCAAGTATGGTCCCAACTCTTGCCTTGAAACTTGGTGTTCCTTCTGCCTATAAGCCTCTTCCCTCAGATAGAATAGCTAATTCTCTTACTGTATTCAGGGGAAACTTTACCACTTGGAATTGCCTTTAATCTGGTTGATTTTTCTTCATATCACTTATCTGACATATTGTATTTCTATTTGCTTACAGTTTTTCACTTCATTGACATTAAAGACTGCATACGGGCAGAGATTTTGTCTGTTCGTTTGTTTTCTGTAATTGCTGTGTCGCTGGCATCTAAATCGGTGCCTGGCAGACAGTAGTAAGCAGGATAGATGATTTGAATGAATAGATATACAATTGAAATACACATAACCAATGAGTCTGTATAACAGACTCTCACCAATTAAAAAGATAAACAATTTAACAGAAAAAAATGGGAAAAATATAAATAGGCAATTCACAGGAGATCCAAATGGCCAATAAATGTATGAAAATGCATTCATACTCATTAGTAACTAGGCAAAAGAAATTAAGCCCAAAATTAGATGCCATTTGCATCCATCAAATAGGCAACATTTTTAAATCTGACTAAAGCAAGGATGTAGAGAAGTGAATGATACTTCCAACTGAAGTGTTAGCAGTGGAAGAGATCCAAGAAACCTCCAGTTACTGGTGCCATATACCTACCAGTCCATAGCAACTTCAGCCCTTGCCTCCTCAGAAGAAAGAATTCAACTGAAGGACATAAAACAGAAAAAGAGACCCAGGCAAGTTTCAGAGCAGGAGTGGAAATTTATTTTAAAAGGCTTTAGAACAGGAAAGAAAGGAAAATTCTCTTGGGAGAGACCCACGTGGCACCTGAAGGTCCAAGAGAGAGGAGAAGACAGCAGGAAAAAAAGGGCCTGTAACCTTGATCCGAGGACTTTCTAGGCTTGTCTCTTTCCCCAAATTCTTCCCCTAGGGTGGGCTTCCCGCATGCTGTGCTTTCCTTACCCTTTGGAATTGAGCATGCCACAATGTATTTAGGGAGCTATACGCATGCCCATCTGAGGCTTTTTTCCTTTTTCAGGTAGCAGGTGCCCCCGGAACATCATACTTTACCATTGTGTCTCTTAACTCGCATGCCCAATAAGCAATTTCTCCCTGGGACCTGCATTCAATTAACAATTTTAATGTTAACAGGTTTGGACCATCAGAGGATTGTCTCTCCCTGGCTGCTGAATTATTATTTTTAGAGAGGCAATATGATAATTACCAAACCATCACCCAGCATTTCTAGTGGGCGGGGGGAAAGCCCTCTCCTGCCCTGCTCATGTCTATCTATCTACCTATAACAGAAGTATAAGTTGGTATAACAATTTTGAGAAACCAATTGGCAACAACAAGTAAAACAGAGGATGTGTATACTCTACAACCCAGAATGACCACTTGTAAGTATATTCCCTAGTGAGTGTTCTATATCCATGAAGGGTGATGTACAAGAATATCCACTGAAGCATTATTTGTAATAATAAAATCTTATAAACAATCTGAATGACCATCAAGGAAAGAATGGAAATAAATAAGCTGCAGAATATTATATGGCTGTCGAATGAACAAGAGCAATTTGTATGAGTATGAATAGATTTCAAAAATAAAGTTAATTTTAAAAATATTTTTGTAATATTTTGTTTCAAAATGCTTTCAGAAAATTCATGGCTTATGTTTACGCATTGCTAGAAAATTGAAATCTTTTTGTGTCTTTTTCATTTTTAAATGAATTCTCTTTACTGTCTTATCATCACCTTCTCCTTTCATTTGTTAAGAAATAATTCTATTGCCGTTATAATAGGAAGAAAGAACAATACTTGTTTCCTGGATTGTTACAAGATTGTATTTCCATTCACAAATTCGTCATGGTATATTAAAACACAAATGAGGTAGCTATAATCAATGGCAGTAGAACTCTAAAATACAATTACAGTGTTTCACAATTTGACTGGAAATGACAGATTGTAATTTGGATTACGGCGTATTACAATTAATGCTAAATTGCCAGCAGCAAATACATTTAACCCTCCTTCACACTTGTAATCAGTCAAGCATGAGATAAAGCATATCAGGGAACATAAATCATTACAAAATAAAACATACAGGCCCTTGCAAAAGAAATAATGCAACATCCATTTCTGTTAAAGTCAACTTGTGTTTAATGCTTTTGTTTTGGAACTTAAAAGGCAATTCTTGTATAAACCATTTCCTCAAATTTACTCACCAAAAACAGTTAATTTGAAGGAAAAAAAAACTTCCAATATATCCCATGAAAATAGCCTTACTCTTTACAAAGAATTGGATTATAACATGTCCTTTTTATATGGAGAGTTTTTGCAATTGAAATGTATTGAATATTAACAAAACAAGGTGCCTGTGACCAAAATTATTTAACCTTTGATTAACCATACTTATCTTCAAATGGGTCAAATGTGGCTAAGTTGTTAGCATGCCTGAGGTAGTGCCAGTAAAATTTGTTTATCCTGTGGCTATATTGAATCACAGAATATTGGAAATTTCCCTTAGGAATAATAATACTATACCATGAAACTCATATACTCTCTTTCCAAGATATTAAGTTTCGCTCTATGAATTTCAAATTGCATTCCAAGAACAAATTTTTCTTTGCATTGAATTGTGCCTGTTATAAAGGTTATCATTCTACATGCAATTATCCAGAATTGCTCAATATCCAAGCTCAGAATAAGGATTAAGTTAGCCTCTTTGTGGTGAAAAATGAACAACAGGATACTGTTTAATAAGAAGAATTAATCTACAGTGGTACCATAATCTCCTAATAGAATTCATGCGCCTCTTTCTAATTTACTCTCAGAAAGTAATTTAAGGGTTGAAAGAACTGGTTGATAATTAACCTTTTAGAAAGCTTCAAGGAAGGATTTTTTTTTTTTTACTTTTGAGGTTGTTATTAGTGTCCCATAAACTAACCATTAAGTACTTGGTCTCACTCTTATGTCCCCTCAAGTGGCTGGATCCAATTACTGGTCACAACTACAAAATAACAATAACAGGGACTGTTTATGGTCCCGTATTACTAAAGAGGACCTTAAGCAATTGTTGGGGACAGTCTGCCTCTCTCACTGCATTTGCTTTTATTTTCCCTTGTAGCCTTCCCTATTCCTCAAGAATTACCTATCCCAGTGGTTCTCAACCCTGGTTGCACATTAGAATCATGTAAAGAGTTAAAATATGTATATATGTCTATGCTCAGCCCCTAGCCCTAAATAATACTGGGGGCGTGCCCTCCTGATATCAGTATAGAAACTCCCCTAAATGATTGTAATATGCACTCAGTGTTGAGAACTATGCCTTCTGTTCTTTCTTTGTACTTCTTTCCTTCCCGTCTTTAATTTAAACCTATAATTTCAAACTTACTTTAGCATAGAATTATTTCAAAGAAATCTCAATAAATAATAGAATTTAAAAGGATAAACAGTTTTTTTAGGCAACTTAAATCACCATTGCTTGCAAAATCCTAATATCACCTCTTTGGAGATCTAAAAAGTAGAGTAGAATTTAAAAACTACTTTCTCAGGCCTTTGAGTATCATCCAGAAGCATTTACAAAAGTGCTGGTACCAAGTGAAGTAACTCAGGAGTGAAAAGCCAAATACCGTGTGTTCTCATTTATAAGTGGGAGCTAAACTATGAGGATGCAAACACATGCAGAGTGATATGATGGACTTTGGGGACTTGAGGTGGGAGGTTGGAAGAAGGGTGAGGGATAAAAGACTACATTTTGAGTACAGTGTACACTGCTCAGGTGACAGGTGCACTAAAATCTCAGAATTCACCACTAAAGAACCTATCCCTGCACCCAAAAACCACCTGTACCCCAAACACTATTGAAATAAAAAAATACTGGTACCATAATGACTCCCCATGCACTCATCACTGTCACATTCACCTGCAGCCAGACACTGAGCCAAAAGGACTAATAAAGAGATAAGAACAGCAGTTCCAGTCTTCAAAGGAGTTCCTGCTCTAATTTAGAAGACAAGAAAACAGATCATCACAATTCAGTATTTATTCAGCAAATATTTTGTGACAGTCTAGGATGTGCCAGACATTATTCTAGATGCTAAGGATACAGTAGTGAACAACGTGGACAAAATCACTGTCCTGAAACATGAGAGTTCCCTGACCCCCTTCGCAGGATGTGTGACAGGGATGTGGCTTGTCGTGCTCAAACCCCTTGCAAGAAGGGGGAGCATGTAGATGGGCAGGTGCAGGAGCCAATGAGAGTGCTTTTGGCTCCGGCCCCATGGTAGCATCTAGGGGTGAGTGCCTGCAATTCCTGAAGCCCCAGTGGGCGTGTTATGGTGCTCTTTCAGCTGTGCTCTCCACAGACAGCTTAAGTGTTAACCAGCTCAGTGCCCTCTTGATACCTGGGTTCTTGTCCAGCGTCCAGGAAGAATCAGGTCATACAGACAAATTGAAGGATGGTAAATGTAGGGGATTTTATTGCCAGATGGAGGTAGCACTCAGCAGGATAATTGGGGAGCTGGAAAGGGAATGGAGTGGGAAGATGACCTTCCCCTAGAGTTTGGCCATCCCGTCACCGATCTCTCCAACCGTCCCCAGCCGAACTCCTCTCAATGTTCACACACTCCTCATCTCTCCTTCTTTGCTGCACTGCCCTTCTGACTCCTCTGTTCTTCTGCTCATGGAGCCCAGGGTTTAGGGTTTATTTGGGTACAGGAGAGGGGGGTGTGGCAGACCAAAAGGCAACATTTGGGCCTGAAAACAGAAATGCCTGTTCCCATTTAGGGCCATGGGTTTCCAGACTTGAGGGTGGGGTCTTTGCCAAGGAACCGCCCCCTTGTACCCAGTATCTCCCTACCTCCTGTACATATCACTTCCTGATTTTATCTTCCAACCAGGGAAAACAGACGTGAAAGAATGACTAAAAAGTACACTATGTTAGAGGGAATAGGAAGTGTTGAAGAAATTATAATTTTAAGAAGGGTGAACAGGAAGTTATGGGGTTCAACGGGATGACACAAGAGTTATCAAGAAGAACGTTGTAATTGACCTAGGTAAAAGCAATTTAGTGGAGTTATGGGATCAAGTCAAAAATTGTGGTAGGTTGAGAAGAGAACAGGAGAACATGGAAACAACAGTGTGAACTTTCATAGGAAGGAAGAGAGGTTCACAAAGATGAATTTTGTGGAAGGAACTTGATCATGTTTATAATTCTAGAAAAAGGGCCAGTAAAGAGACAGTTTGTTCAATATACTGTGGGGAAAATGGGAGAATCTATAAAAAGACCACCAGGTAGAAAGGGGTGGGATACAGGTAGTAGAGAGTGTTAACCCTGGAGGGAAAGAATGATATAAGCAAAATCTTCTGTTAATAGCAATAATTGCTAATATTTATTTAAAATTTACCATGTGTCAGAGTATTCTAAGCACTTTGTATGTAATAACTCATTTATTATGAGAAACCTTATAAGGTACATTATTATCCCCATTTTATAAGTGAAGAAACTGAGACACAGAAAGTTAATTGTCCACATCACACAGAAAAATATAAGTAATATTTCAAACCCAGGCATCTGGTCTTTAAGTCCATGGTCTCAATCCCTACTGTATATCGATAAGAGAGAAAGGTGAGGAAGAGGGAGTTCAAAGAGTTTAAAGAATACCTTGAATTTTACATAGATGATGGTAAGAATAGACAAAGGGTTAGGGATTTTCAGAGAATGTCAGACTGAATATATAGCCAGAATTTTGGAACAAAAAGGATCATAAAGGTTGCTCATTTTCCTGAGGCCCAGAAATGCCCACTAGACTAAAAGCTTTATTAGGACAGGGATCATGTCCATTTGGTTTACCACTGTGAACACATGCAGCACCTAGCACTCGACCTGATGAATAACAGGCACTTATTAAATATCTATTGGCCAAATTAAGAAAGTTGAAAGTAAATATGTGCCTGAGGTATCGGGTTGAACCATATGAAATTGCCATTTAGGTTAGTCTTGATTCTCCTGCAAAGCACCTGCTCATCTTTCCTTTTTATTTCCCTTACCAAGCCCAGTGACCCAGCCAAATTAATTTGCTAGTTAAAATTTGCTGTTTCCCATTTCTATGACTTTGCATATATCCTCCTCTTAAAATGTTACTTCTCTTAAAATGTTACCATTGATCCATGTTTCTCTTCTTTCAAAGTCCGTTGCAAATACCAAGTATTCTTAAATGATTAAATTTATCTTTGTTAATTTATTACTCTGTCATTTCCTTTATCCCATTTTTCGTTTTCTTTGAGTAAAAATACTCAGTTTTTTAGTATATGCTGTTTACACCTAATCTTTCTTTAAGTTTTATTTTTATTTATTTATTTATTTATATTTTTATTTATTTATTTATTTTTGTGGAATAGACAATATATTGCATGGCTTCTACTTAAAAAAAAATACAAACAGGGCCAGGCACGGTGGCTCATGCCTGTAATCCCAGCACTTTGGGAGGCCAAGGTGGGCAGATCACGAGGTCAGCAGTTCGAGACCAGCCTGACCAACATGGTGAAACCCCATCTCTACTAAAAATACAAAAATTAGCCAGGCATGGTGGCAGGTGCCTGTAATCCCAGCTACTCAGGAGACTGAGGCAAGACTATCATTTGAATCTGGGAGTTCAAGTGAGTTGCAATGAACCGAGATTGCACCCTGCATTCCAGCCTGGGCGACAGAGTTAGACTCCATCCCCCCGCAAAAAAAAATACAAACAGGTATCCAGTTATTAATAGAAGTTTGCTTCCCACCCTTTCCCCTATCACACTCAATTTCTCACCACCATGGCTCAGATATGAGCCACCATGCCTGGCTTTTTTATTATTTTATAAAAATTAACAAGCTGATTCTAAAATTCATATGAAAATGCAAAGAACCTACAATAATAATAAAAAACAATTTGGAAAAGAACAAAGGTGGAGGGTTAGCACAATTTGATGTTGAGACTATAAAGCTACAGTAATCAGCACAGTGTGGTATTGGCATCAAAATAGACAAATCAGTGGAACAGAATAGTGTTCAAAATATAACCACTCAAAGACAAACAACTCATTTTTTTTAAAGGTGTAAAAGCAGGCTTGGCACAGTGGTTCACACCCATAATGCGACTACTTTGGGAGGTTGAGGCAGGTGAATCTCTTGAGCCCAGGAGTTTGAGACCAGCCTGGGCAACATAGAGAGACCTTGTCCCTATAAAAAATTAAAAAATTAGCCAGGCATGGTGGTGCATGCTTGTAGTCCCAGCTACTCCGTAGGCTGAGGAGGGAGGATCGCTTGAACCCAGGAGGTGGATGGAGGCTGCAGTGAGCCAAGATTACACCACTGCATTCCAACCTGGGCGATAGAGCAAGACTCTGTCTCAAAAAAAAAAAAAAAAAAAGTGAAAAGCAATGCAATGGAGAAAGGATAGCCTTTTCAACAACTAGTGCTGGAACAAAAAAAATGGACTGCAATTCTTACCTTGTACCATATACAAAAAGTAATTCCAAATGAATCATAAACCTAAATGTAAAACCTAAAACGATAAAACTTTTAGAATACATAGGAGAAAATCTTTGTGACCATGAGCTAAGCAGAAATTTCTTAGAAACACCACCAAAACACAATTCAGAAAGAAAAAGATTTAGCTGGACTTCAACTGAATTAAAAACTTTTGTTCTTCAAAAGACACTCGAGAACCAGTTGCTGTGGCTCATGCCTGTAATCCCAACACTTCAGGAGGCCAAGGCGGGCGGATCATTTGAGCCCGGGAGTTCGAGACCAGCCTGGCCAATGTGGTGAAATCCCATCTCTAGTAAAAATACATAAATTAGCCAGGTGTAGTGGCAGGTGCCTGTAATCCCAGCTACTCAGGAGGCTGAGGCAGGAGAATCGCTTGAACCCGGGAGGCGGAAATTCCAGTGAGGAGAGACAGTGGCCACTGCACTCCATGGGCAAAACTCTGTCTCACAAAAAGAAAGAAAGACACTGAGAGAATAAAAAGACAAGGCAGACAAGAAAGAAAGATTTGCAAATCATACATGTGATAAAGGATTTATACCTAAAATATATAAAGAACTCTCAAAACTAAATTTTAAAAAGCCTAATAAATGCACAAATATTTGAACAGACATGTCACTGAGAAGATATACAGAAGTCAAAGAAGCACATTTAAAAAATGCTTAACGTAATATATCATTAGGAAAATGCAAATTAAAACCACAATGATAAATGCATCTATTAGAATGATTGTAATTGAAAAGACTGATCATATTAAGTGTTGATGAGAACGTGGAGGAACTGAAACACTCATATACTGCTGGTGGAAATGTAAAATGGTACAACTACTTTGGAAAACAGTCTGGCTGTTTGTCAAAAAGTTAAACATATACCTACCAAATAATCCAGCCATTCGCCTGATTAATAAAGTAAAAGCATCTGTCTTTATAAAGATGTGGGCACATAAAAGTTTACAGTAGCTTTATTTGTAATAGCCCCAATGGGAAATAATACAAATGTCTATCAACAAGTGAATAAATACACAAAATATAGTTAATCCCTACAAAGGAATATTACTTGGCAACGAAAAGGAATGAACTATTGATACAAACAACAACATGAGTGAACCTTAATACAGTCGTGCAGAATGAAAGAAGCCAGACTCAAAAGTATACATGTTATATGATTTTATTTATATAAAATTATAGAAAATTCAAACTAAACTATAGTTTAAAGAAAGCAGGAATGGGAGGGAGAAGGGATTACAAGAAAGTGTAAGGAAATTTTGTGGAATGATGGATGTGTTAATTATCTTCACTGTGATGGTGGTTTCACAGATCGAACTTGTATACTTCATGTGCAATTAATTTTTTTTTTTTTTTTTTTGAGATAGAGTCTCACTCTGTTGCTCAGGCTGGAGTACAGGGGCATGATCTTGGCTCACTGCAACCTCCGCCTCCCGGGTTCAAGCAATTCTCCTGCCTCAGCCTCCCAAGTAGTTAGGATTATAGTTGCTTGCCACCACACCCGGCTAATTTTTGTATTTTTAGTAGAGATGGGATTTCACCGTATTTGCCAGGCTGGTCCTGAACTCCTGACCTCATATGATCCGCCCATCTTGGCCTCCCAAAATGCTGGGATTACAGGTGTGAACCACTGTGCCTGGCCTGTGCAATTAATTTTATCTTTACTATACTTCAATTGTCTACTATACTTGTTCAATTTTAAAATATACAGTATACAGACTGTTCTGCCCTGGCTTTTTTTAAAAACTTAATATTCCTGTTGATGGTTTCTTTTAAATATGCAAAGCTTTCTCATTCTCTTTTTTATAGCTACCTAAAATTTTATTATATGCATGCATAGTAATTGATTTTACTATTCCCCTACTGGTGTCAATTTACAAACAATACTGCATTGAAAAACGTTGTACAAACTCATTTCCTTCATACATAAGCATATTTACAGGATATATTCCAAGAAGTGAAACTGCTAGGTCAAAAGAAAAGACAATTTTGATTGCTGTTGCCCAATTGCCCTCCAGATCAGTCAGCTTTCAATGCAGGAAACAGAAGCCATTATAGATATTTTAAACAGGAAGGCACTTTTTAAATGGAATTTGGTGCTTATAAAGTTACTGGAAGGGTTGAAGGAGCAGGGTTTAGGAATCTAAGTTGAGCCTATGGGAATGAATCCCACAGTGACACAAACATGATTCACTGGGGGAACTACAACCTCTGGTCACCATGGAGCCCTGCTGGGAACCAGAGGCCAGCCACTACAACCTTTCACTCCTGGGAAGCTGGAGAAAGAAGATGTAACACCACAATCTAGGGGTTGGAATGTCAGATTAAGAAGCTGCTGCCACCACCACAGCCTATCCATATTCAGGAAGCTGAACGATAGACACTTGATCACTGCTGCATGGAAACGTTTTTCACTACCTCGTAACATTCAAGAACTTCAAAACTTGGCCTCTGCTTCACTTTTGCCTTTCAAATCATGAGGAGAGAGCATATAGTTGAGAAAACTTAATTAGCATTCAGACTGCCCCCCCATCTGCATAAAAAGTTCTGGGTAACAGTTTAATAATTTCTCAGCCTCTGCAACTTGAAGAGTACATTGGGTAAATAAATTCAGAATTCACTGTCATCCTTAGCGGTTGTTCCAGTTTACCCCTCTATCAGCAAAAATACTTGTTCCCTCCATTCTTACCAATAATATCTAGAATATTACAATGTTTTATAAAACTAAAAAGTCTTTCTTGATTAATAGGTTAAAAAACTGGTATCTCAGTATAGTTTTGTCTTATACTTCTCTTAGTAATAAAGTTGAACTTTTTTTCCGGCTTGAATCATTTTATTCTTTTCTGTGAAAACTGTTTACAATTTTGTACCTTTTTCTTTTTGGATCATTGGACTTTTTCATTTCTAGGTGTTCTTTATAAATTAAGCAATGCATGATATGATTTGAAAATATTTTTTCCAAATTTGTCATTTTTCTTTAGACTATGCTTATGGTGGTTTTTTGCTGTGAGGAATTTATTTTATATAGTGATATAATTTATTGTTATATGTTGGGCATGGTGCCTCACACCTATAATCCCAGCACTTTGGCAGGTCGAGGTGGGCAGATCACTTGAGGTCAGGAATTCAAGACCAGACTGGCCAACACTGTGAAACGCCATCTCTACTAAAAATACAAAAATTAGCCAGGTGTGGTGGTGCACACCTGTAGTCCCAGCTACTTGGGAGGCTAAGGTAGGAATAATTGCTTGAACCTGGGAGGCAGAGGTTGCAGTGAGCCAAGATCATGCCGCTGCCCTCTAGCCTGGGCAATAGAGTGAGACTCCATCTCAAAAATAATAATAATTTATTGTTACAAATTTATAGTGAAAACATTATCATTTCTTATTGTAAATTCTATTCCAAATTTTATATCAAATTCAGGAAATCCTTTACCACACTAAAATCTTTAAAAATTCTCTGACAACCTCTTTGGGTACTTTAAACATTTCAGTTTTCATATTTAAACTGGAATGCATTTTGGTTTATGAGGTATGAATCCAGCTTTGTTCTCTATAGCTACCCAAGTGTCCTACTACCTTTAATGAATAAACCATATTTTCCCCACTGAGCTGAAACATCACTTCTCCTCCACTAAATTCCCATATCTGGGTTCATTTTCCTTCTGCTTGAATGATCTGTCTAGTCATATGCCAGTTCCAGACTGTTTTAATTATTGGAGCTCTCTTGTTTAAATATTTCATAAGGCCAGTCTTTCCTCATTGTTTTTTCAGTTTTCCTGGCTAGTCTTGCTTTTTTTTTTTTTTTTCCTCAAAGAAACTTTGGAATCAGCGATCTAGTTTTTTTTTTTTTTAATCCTTATATTTTTATTGGGATTGCATTCAATTTAGAGAACTGAAATGTGTATGTTGTCTTCCTATCCAAGAATATGATATGCATCTCCATGTGTTTGAATTTATTTTCATGTGAAATACAAAGTTTTGGTTTTGTGGTCACGCATATAACTTGTTTATTCCTAGGTATCTTCTCTCCTTTGGTCTTACTTTAAATGGGGCCTTTTCTTCTATTATATCTTCTAACTGGCTGTTGTTTTTATAAATGAAAGCTTTTTATTTCTGTGATGAATTTTATACCCAGTGACTGTATTCGTTTTAAGAGACTTTCAGTTGACCCTTTTAAGCTTTGCACTATCATCTACAAATACTAACTTTACCTTTTCCTCCATTTTTAATGGGTCCAAATTCTCTTACCTCTGTTAAATAAATCTTCCAATAGGTTTTTAAGTTCCTTGAGGACATTAATTATAGTAGTACATTTTGTATACCTTTCAGAGCCCCTGTAAAATGCTCCACATAGAATGGTTTATGACTAACCCCCATTATGAAAATGGAAACACGAAGTGTCTATTAAATTCTGAATCTGCTCAATGTATTTATTTCCACCACTTTTCTCAATACCACCCACAAATGAAATAAAAACTAATTTACTTCTAAAAAGAGATTATTCCATTCTATCGCATCTAATGCTTTTTTCCTCTCACAAATCTTTAAAATGTTATGTACTTTTTTTTCCGAACGAAACAGGCTTTTTAGCTTACAAGTCTTTTTCTTGGATTTACATATGAAATTGTAAGCCAAACTAAAGCTCTTAGTCAACAGGTTTGATTAAATGTTCTTGATGATACTCAACATTGTCTCTAGCAGTTTCCTTGAAATTATGTATGATTTCACTTAAAAACTACACACTTATTAGGTACAACATGAGGGGGACAAATGACCAGTAAAGCTTAAAATTAAGTAGATCCAAACCAATCACTGAAATAGAAGATTAAATGCTACAAACTATACAAGATAATAAGTCTTACTTTATAGTCAGGGATCTTATGTTAACGTATTTCCTAATGACACCAGTTTCCTAGATAGGAAGGATAAGCCAGACACATGTCCATCCTAATATTACAGAAAATCAGAAGTTCCACTTTGATAAAGCACATATTTATTCCTCAGGCTATTTGCAAATGTAAGCATTCTAACCTCTAAGTTAATCTTTCATAAGATGAAGTAAAAGCTAGAAATAATATGAAAATTAAGGAAAGTACAGACAAAAAGTAGCTCTTAAAACTGCCCAGCAAAATGGATAAAATTTGTAGAGTTCCCTCACAGGGCCATGAGACACTATCCCAAGAGTAACTCTAAAGCTATTCTCAAATCTCATGATGAGGTTCTCTACTTCAATAACCAATTCCTCCTTGGACCTTATATTTCTTGGATTTTACATTGTCTGTGTGTATACCACAGAGGCTATTCTATGCTTTGCCTCTTTTCCTGTCCATTTCCTGTTTAATTCTCAGAGTGCCCCATCAGGCATTTGCAGAGAGGCTCCTTGTAGCATTTCTTGGCGAGTATGTACATTAGAATGTCATAAAATTTCATTTGAGTTTATATGGTAGTTTTAATGGTTTGCTTTGAATCTCCCATTAGATGTATTAAATTAAGTAACTGGCACATGCAATTTCTAGTTGCAAATAAATAAAAAGCAAAAACAGCAAAATTATCTTGAAAAACTGAAGAAGTAAAAAACTTCACATATACTTTAAAAAATTCCATCACAGACTAAGGATTTTTGGACACAAAATTCTACTCAGTTTTCAACAATGTAGCAAAAAATGGGGGTGAACACCTCCAGTTCTCTAGTTCCAGTGTTTCCAAGAGATGACAGGTATCATCCTAATGAGCTTCAAAAAACCAGAGCAGAGATGTAAGTGAATTCAAGGACAGCATTACTAAAAATTATGGCATATAAAAAATTTAGAATTCTTCATGCAAATACCAGGTAGCTGGAAGCTTCTGTGTAATTTATAATTTACTGATCACAAATAAAGGCTTTTTTTTTCTTCTTTTGCCCAACTCTGAAAGAGGTATTAGTTAACCTTAAATTAGTTAAATTTGTGACTAGAGGTCATAGAAACAGTCATAGTCTTCCCTAATGATGTTTAAGCTGACTTTAAATGTCAGTAGAAGGCATTATTACGCTAGGGACATTCCCAAATTTCTCCATTTTATTAAATATAAGGTTTTGTTCTGTTTTGTTTTGTTTTCAAGCAGTGCTTGGCTTAGAACAGCTGCTGCTGCTTCTTTTTTAAGCACCACTACAAATACCATGATGCTTTGACAATATTTTTAAGGGGCTATTCATGGATTCTTAACTTTTAATATTCTGAATCACAAATCTTGCTCATTTTTATTTCTCTAATGAAATCCATCCATATTCCTAGAATTCATTATCAATAGAAAAGGACAAATAAAAGTCACTTGCCAGACTAGTGGTCTTAATCATCATTGAACTCTTTAGCTCTTAGTTCCATATTTAAGAAAATTCCCCCCAATTTTCAATAATCTTATCCCTGTCAAACATTCCACAGATGAGAATTGCTTACACATGGTGATTACTATGAAAATAATTCGACATCTAGTTAACAACTTTTAACTTTTTTTTTGAGACAGAGTCTCACTCTGTCACCGAGGCTGGAGTCCAGTGGCACCAGGTCTGCTCACTGCAACCTCCGTCTCCTGGGTTCAAGCAATTCTCCTGCCTCAGCCTCCCAAGTAGCTGGGATTACAGGGGCTCACTACCATGCCCGGTTAATTTTATATATATATAATATATATATGAAATATATATAAATTTATAAATATAGCTGGGCTCGGTGGCTCACGCTTGTAATCCCAGCACTTTGGGAGGCCGAGGCGGGCGGATAACAAGGTCAGGAGATAGAGACCATCCTGGCTAACACGGTGAAACCCCATCTCTACCAAAAAAATACAAAAAATTAGCCAGGCGTGGTGGCGGGCGCCTGTAGTCCCAGCTACTCGGGAGGCTGAGGCAGGAGAATGGTGTGAACTCGGGAGCCGGAGCTTGCAGTGAGCCGAGATAGCGCCACTGCACTCTGGCCTGGGACAGAGCGAGACTCCGTCTCAAAAAAAAAAAAAAAAAAAAAAAAAAAAATATATATATATATATATATATAATATATATATGGTTTTGTTTTGTTTTGTTTTTAGTAGAGACAGGGTTTCACCATGTTGGCCAGGCTGGTCTCGAACTCCTGACCTCAGGTGGTCCACCTGCCTTAGCCTCCAAAAGTGCTGGGATTACAGGCGTGAGCCACCATGCCACAACTTTTAACTTTTTTTTTTCTTTTTTCTTTTTTTGAGACAGGGCCTCACTCTGTCGTCCAGGCTGGAGTGCAGTGGTGCGACCTCAGCTCATTGCATCCTCTAACTCCCAGGCTCAAGCAATCCTCCCATCTCAGCCTCCTGAGTAGCTGAGACTACAGGCACACACCACCACACCTGGCTAATTTTTGTATATTTTTGGATAGAGATGGGGTTTCGCCATGTTGTCTACACTGGTCTTGAATTCCTGGGTTTAAGGGATCCATCCACCCACCTCAGCCTCCCAAAGTGCTGGATTACAGGCATGAGCCATGGCTCCCAGCCAGCTTTTAACACTTTTGATTGGAAAGGGCCAGCTTTAGTCTTAGCAGAGCAGCAAATGTCAGCCTCAAGGCAACATACCAAAGTAGTAAATTATTAGCCTAGAACCTAGAACCCAGAACCCAAAATCTACCATCTCCTTCCTTTAACAATGCCCTTTCTGACCATCTTCAAGAAAGTTCACCCAAAATTATGTCTTTCGCATAAATAAATTTCTTATGCCACTACTTTTGGCTAAAATCTTTTGATGGGGATGAATTACTCCTCTCACATCCTCTAGCTTTTCCTTTACAGGACTTTTATGTTTTGAAGAACTCATTAAATCACTAAATTTACTAACCTTTTGTGAACTAGTAAGAATGAAAGTAACTTGTGTATAACCAACTAATGGGATAGTTTGTGTGTGTGTGTTTAAACGGATGATTTCGCTCTATTTTCTAACCAGAAGGGCCAGGAGGACTAGATGATTTAACTTTATTATATTGTAATATCAAAAATATCCTTAAAAGACACTGAAAAGATGTTTAGAAAATTCATATTCATTAAACCATCTTTCTGACCTGTATCTTCAATTTCAGATAGAAAAAAAGGGACCCACACTCTTAAACTGGAGAGTGCATTTAGAATTACACAAACTATCCTACTATGACTCAGGAATGGATTGTGTTCTGGCTTACTGTGTGGTGACAAGGCCACATCTGTCAAAGGCAAAGAAAACAACATGATTGCTTTTTAAATTGTATTTTTTCTAGGTTAAAAAAAATCACCGCAAAACCAAACCAAACCAAACAAAAATGGCTGCTGTCTAAATAAGCAGGAGGCATCAGTTTATTCACTGCTACCACAAAATTTGGAAAAGCAATTTGGGTTAGAGGATCACTTAATTACCCCCTTGAAGCTAGAAAGTAAGTTATTCAATTTTAATCTGGCTTGAAAATGTATTATTTGCAAAATTCAAAAACATTCTTTCCAGCTTTACCTCAAATTCACTGTCAGCTTCAACTACTGTCATTCTAATTATCTCACTCCAAAAGTTTGGCAGGTACATATCTGATCAAACACAGAATGTGAACATGTGTGCACAGGTGACCTTATATCCCCAGATAAATTACTTATATCTTGGACTATGTGCAACAGGTATCAGCTCATCTCTAGGTTCCAACGATAAAGGAAGGCACTTTGGCTATCTGGTTCTCCCATGTATGTACACTGGGCACATAGCAGTTTGTGCACTGGGCATACAGAAGGCACTCAACAAATGAGTGAAACTAACCAAAGTCATAAAAAGCTGAATGTTTTAAAATTTTTTAAAATACAGAAACAATTATTAAACTCACATATATGCTTAACCTGCTTTCTGAATTTTCATTTAAAGTCAAACATGAATAAATGCATTTGTTCTGGGGCACACGTTTAACCTTGTGTCATAGCACACATATGCTAAGCTATAGTCTTGACAGTGCAGAGAAGCTCCTATAAATTGTTGGACACTGTAATGCTCTCCAAGTAGGAAAATACACCAAGAGGATGAGCCCAACCCAGAGTTTTATGTGTATTAAGGAGCTTGGACTTGTACATTGCTCTTTCCCAACCCTATTTCCACAGAGGATAGCATTCAAGAGTTTGACTTGACTTTCCCAGAACGCTACAAGTTTTTAAGCTTGATGTATGGTAAACTTACATCTCAAAAGTCCAGTAAGTAGTTAACTTCTAGTTCCAGAACTATTACTGCTGATTTAACTTGCTTTAAAAGAGTATGATTCTAGGGTGGGCATGGTGGCTCATGACTGTTATCCTAGTACTTTGAGAGGCCAAGGCAGGAGGATCACTTTGAAACTAGTTCAAAAACCAGCCTGGGCAACAAAGTGAGAGCCATCTCCACAAAAAAAACAAAACAATTAGCCAGGCGTGGGTGGTGGTGTTATGCACCTGTAATACCAGCTACTTCGAAGTCTGAGGTGGGAGGATTGCTTAAGCCCAGGAGTTTGAGGCTGCAATGAGCTATGATCATGCTACTGCATTCTAGTCTGTGCGGCAAAGCAAGACCCTGTCTCAAAAAAAACTTCCAGAAAAAGAAGTATGATTCTAGTTGGCCTTGGTAAATTGGTCAGTTGAGGGTGGAATTTGATATAGGGTAGAAGTTCCATTCAGGGAATGGAAAATTTACAAAGGCCAAATATAAATATAAAACTGCATAATAAAGACACAAACCAAACTGTTAACAATGGTTACCTCTAAAAAGGGATGTGGGATGATGAGGGAAGGGAGATCTAAAAAGGAACTTTTGTTTTTACTCTATATTAAAGGCACAGATCAAATACAAGTTTGAATTTTTGGTAGCATCATGTCCTGTTATGGGAGTTGCTGTCAGAGTTGTATAAAGACTTGTTTTAGTTTATCTTGTACTTTTCCCCATCAGTTATACCTTTCCTCTTTTTCCTTCTTCCCTCCAATAAAAAACGTATTCTGATAAAAGAATCTGCTAAAGTTAACTCCTAGATTTTATACACTAAGCAGTCAACCGTCAGCCAAAAGTAATGAACTTCAAATACATTACAAGAGGCCTTCTAGTTTCCTGATTCACATGCTTAAAGCAGACCCTGATTCTGTCTAAGCATTGGCTTGCATTTAAATTCTATGATACTGACTGGGCCTAGTGGCTCACATCTGTAATCTCAGTACTTTGGGAGGCTGAAGTGGGAGGAATGGTTGAGGCCAGGAGTTCAAGACCAGCCTGGGCAACACAGCAAGACTTCCCATCTCTACTAAAAATGAAAAATACAAAAATTAGCCAGGCATGGTGGCTTACACATGTAGTCCCAGCTACTCAGAAGGCTGAGGCAAGAGGATTGCTTGAGTCCATGAGTTCAAGGATGCAGTGAACTATCACTGAGCCACCACACTCCAGCCTGGGTGACACAGCGAGACTGTCTCAAAAAAATGAAATAAAAAAATAAATAAATTTGGATACTAATGAAATCCACCTAACAGACCAGATTCCTTTTCAGGTTTCATGGAGTCAGAGGCTATTTTAAAAAAGAAAAAAAGAAAGAAAAAAAAAAGAAAAAGGCAAGACACATCCATAGAAATGTGGGAGGAAATAAAATGAAAAAGTCTGTATTTACCAAAGAGCTCCTAGACACGTTGGCAAGAGAAAAGGCAAATGGCAAAACACATGGGTAAGACACAATTTATGTGAAAATTTAAAACCCACAACACTATGTATTTCTATATGTAAACATATAGATATATTAATACATAGCAAAAAGATATTTGAGGAGTATATACTAGAGACCAATAGTTACTACCATTTGGGAGCACTACCAAAGGGCACTTTGACAATATATGTTTTTTATTCTTTTCCTAGAACATTTTCTTACATAATTAAATACAAAATGAGGAACTTTCATATTTCTAGGAAGTACCACATACAATGATTTCCTTAAAATAGCTTGCTACTAAAGCTAGAGTTTAGCAGATACCACTTCTTTCTACTTTTCAACATTATACTTTATCCTTGCTATCCCTCACCATTCTCTCATTGATCTACACATGTTCAAATGTAAAGAAATCACCTTAGCTTTTTCTTAAAATACGTGATAGTGAAGAGATGATACAGTTGCCAGAAAGTATCAAAATCAAGACTGAGAACTGGTATAGTGGGAATAAAGGCCACTGAAGTAGGCAACTCCACCTCCTCTTGACTTGTGCCTTTAATATGATGCATTTGAAAATATGTGCAGACTTCTAAAGAAAGATGCTTTAAGAATAAGAGACCTAACTGGGTATGCTGTGTAACATTAACTCATCATGTTTACTCATATATCTACTGAAGAGAAAATGTTGCAGTAGAAAGGTTAATGCGCCAAAGCAGTTTTCCAGAAAAGCAAAAATGTATAAATCCTAGATAGCACAAGAACTGCTAAAGGTCTATCAATTAAGTGGTATTTATTTAGAAGAGAAGCATTTCTGCTTGAAATTGAAAACTCTTAGGAGTATTTCTAAATTTTTTCCAATACATAACACTATTAAAATATTACAACTAGGAAAATTTTGCTCAAAATTGCAACTGTTTTCTTGAAAAGGTAAAGGCCATCAGACATATGTGTAGCACGAATTTTGGTCCAGAACACCAAATATATTACTCTGTTATAGTTGATTACAGATAACAGAACAGCAACATACTAAAATCAATGCATATTATGAAATCAAGTAGATGCGGTTCAATAAATTCCAGCTTTTAACTATTAAAGCCTAGGTAATGCATTTTATAATTTAGAGAAGAGTACTTAGGGATCTACTCAGTTTATATCTTTAGACATTATTGTGAGGCTCCTGCGGGTCACTACTACTATCTATATCCTTTTCCAGAAAATATCAGCATCTTAAATGGTCACAAATTATGTATTCCCTCTTTGTCACACTGAATCTACAGAGAAAACTGAAAACTCTACAGTGGCAAACAAGTCAAAAGATGAATTCTAAAAGTTAAAGGCACAGATCAAACTACTTTTAGAGATAACGTAACGGGTAATTATAAGAGTAAACTATACTATCTGAATATGTAAGATCAACTATCTAGAATCCTGGTAGCACTTATAATACAGAAAATTGCAAATTATATAATTAAAGAAATAAACAGTATCACAATCCATTTTTAAAATGTTCTTAATATTTGGCATAATGCATAGTTTGCCTTAATTAGAAACTCTTTGATAAAAGTAATGTACTTTTCAAAGTGATTTAAAAAACTGTCAGGTTGTAGTTTTTTATTTACTTGACTTCCATTCTATTCCTCCCTATGCTCTTTCCCTATTTTTCCAATTTTATCTTTCACTACTAAAAACCTAAAAGTGAAGTACTACTCTTCTTCTTCACTTTAATGTCAAATATAAAGTACTCCACTAATAACATATGGCTACTATTAAAAAAAAAAAAGATTTCAATGCAGTAACAGCCATAGCTTTAGGGTATTCTTAGGCAACACCCCAGACAAAACAAATCTGAACACTTATATTTCATACAATAACATAATGCTTTTTTCTTTTCACATTACTGCTTACCCCAAAAGCATGGCAATATACATTTTCAAAAACAATCTTCCCCTGTAATTACAATGAAAAACAAGAAGCAGAATACCCATCATCATTACAGAAACAATGATTGTATACTTTTAACATAATATTCAGGTATTTTTAATCACTATCTTAAACCAATTTTTAATTATATAAGTTAACTGTATATGCTTACTGGCTGAAAAAATACTGGCACAACCTACCTACTGCTTTTAATACACAACGTGGTAACTTGTGTCTTCTGCCTAATAGCACAATTATCAGAAAAAGAATGCAAAAGGTATATTAGAGAAATGAAGAAAGCATCAGAAAAATTTCCTCAGCCTTGGTTTATCATCTCTTTGTCTTTCCTTTGTATATATACTGAAGTTGACTGGTCCTCTTTCATTACTCTATTCCTACCCAAAGACCTTTTGGGTTTCAAAGTGACAGCAGCCATATCATGTTGTCTATTGTTGCTATTGAATTAGCCTCAATTACAGGCCCCCACTAAAAAGGATAAAGAAATACGTGAGGTTAAGAAAGATAACACAGAAACCAAAGGAGAAAAAAGAAAAAAAAAATATGAAGAATAGTTATGACCCACCAATAATTATCTGGCAATTCTGGAGCAGAGGTTCCTATCTAGCTGTTTCATTAAAGTAGGATGAAAAGCTGAAGTATAGCTCTCCAATTATCAGGCTTTAGAACGTTTTTTTAAAATAAAGCTCAATTTCATCTCTAACTAGTTTTTGTGCCTTTTACGAGATGGAGGTCTCAGTGTTACCTAGGCTGGATTTGAAATCCTGGCCTCAAGTGATCCTCCTGCCTCACTCTCCCAAGTAGCTGGCCCTACAAATGCATGCCTCTGTGCCCAGCTACTCTAGTTTTTAAAACATATTTCACTGTAATGAGAAAAGCTTATTTCCTATCTACTTCTACAACAGTAAGAATGGAAAAGCTTTCTTCACTCTGTCTGAAAGAGCCAGGAGGTCAAAAACAAAGTACCGTGATACCCATGATTCTTGCTACCTTCCCCCACCCCCACATAAATACTAACTTCACAGGAAACCAAGAGACTACAGAGTACAATTACCCCATAAAAGAAGACAATTTTAGCTTATCTCCCTGACTCTTCCCACCCCAACTTCCTCAAAAACACATAACAGAAAAGTCTGTGTTGAGTTTAGCAAGGACAATAATTAAAGAAGGTAAAGTGAAGGCTCACAGAATGCCTCCCAGTTTAAGTTAAAATTCCAACATCATAACATCAGGGTGTCAATTCATTCAACTTTTAACCCATTTGAGAAGGTTTAAGTTATTAACTTAAAAATATGGCAGTATTTCTTTTGTAACTATAATCTCTTTATAGCCTCTTAATTGCTCATGCTAATAGCTTTATTACATACTACTGCTTCTTATAAGAAGTAAATCCAGGGGCCATTCCATTTTATCTTAGACATAATATTTACTAGTTTTCCAAGCACGACAGAAATGAAAAAATATATATATTAGAACAAGAACAATTTATGTTAATCTCTACAATCTGTGTTCCTTCTGCGAGCAGTGCCTGATTCTACTAAAATTAACACATTTAAGTTCAGTCTTATGCTTAAGAAAAAAAAATCTAATGAGGGACTAATTTATAAAGTATACACAAATATAATTCTTTAATAAATCTTTCCAGTGTTCACTATATCTGCATTACATGTAATGTTTCCATCCACAGAAACTCAGGATAGTTCTTGTAAAATGAAACAGAACATTCTGTGTTCATCTCTGGCAAGCAATGAACAAATAGAACTTGCTCACAAAGGATCTAAAAGTGCTGCCTCAGGAACATAAACTACGTGCTATATGAATGAGTCTTGGTTAACTGGCTACTATCTGGGATCTCTTCCTCTGCTCATACCACTGAACCCATCTCTTATAAAGCCTATGAGAAAATGAAAGCTATTGCAGAAGTGAAATTCAACATGAGCCACCCAAATTCTTCTAAGGTAACCATTCTAAAGCAAAATCAGCAGAAGTCATCTCTTCTATAATAACAAACAAAAAACCCAAAAGGCAAATGCTACTGCTCAATCATCAGATGAACTCACAGAGGCAAAAATATGTGACAACAGCAATAATTCAAGTAAAGTATGTATGAAAATTTAAACACGCCATGTTCAAGTTAAGACAGAAGTGAAGGGGAGCTATGATCTTTATATTAGTCAAAAAAGCTAGGCATAATCACCAAATGTTAATTCACTTTACAGTCATCAATGAGACTATTGTATATATTTTTGCACCTTGCGCTTGTAAAAGCAGATAAAATATTTAATATGTAATTTACAATGTATTTTACCAGCTCAGCATACAGGATGTATACAGATTATATCAAAGTAGTAGACAGTTACGGGCCTGTGCAAACCCTGCAAAAATAGTACTTCAGATATCTGCTAATTAAAAACAAAAACAGTTTGCTGTTTAGAAGTGATACAATTTCAACTACCACAAAATACAAAGGGCTGCAAAAATGTAACCATTCCAACAACATATATAAGTTATTAAATAAAGATTTGATTTGAAAGAATATAAATGAAGACTTTAAGTAGGTCTTTTCTACATGCATATTATTCCTCATTAAAGAAAAAATATGTAAAAAGGCCATTGGTAATTGCTTTGTTAACATTTGTAGGCCGGGCACGGTGGCTCACGCCTGTAATCCCAGCACTTTGGGAGGCCGAGGCGGGCGGATCACAAGGTCAGGAGATCGAGACCATCCTGGCTAACCTGGTGAAACCCCGTCTCTACTAAAAATACAAAAAATTAGCCGGGCGTCGTGGTGGGCGCCTATAGTCCCAGCTACTCGGGAGGCTGAGGCAGGAGAATGGCGTGAACCTGGGAGGTGGAGCTTGCAGTGAGCCGAGATCAAGCCAGTGCACTCCAGCCTGGGTGACAGAGCGAGACTCCGTCTCAAAAAAAAACAAAAAAAAACAAAAAAAAAACAAAAAAAAACATTTGTAGAAAATGCCAATTCTCTGGTCACAAACTCCACTAAGTTTAGCACTTAAGGTCTCTGCAGTGTTATAAACGTAATTTAAAATACTGTTAATTCTATAATTCCATTGGTAAAATAATGTGACTTGGAATATGGCAGTCTTCATGTTGAGGGCAATGATCCACAGTTTTGTTCTGTCTTTTAATTTCTTAGGCGTGAACAGTTATCCAGAAGAACAGCACCCTCCACCACTGGTCTGGGCTTGAGGTTCATCATCAATAATCTGTACACCTCGCCTTGCAGTTCCCGGCTGACTAGAGCCATTGCCTTTTGCTCTCTCATCCACTTGTGCTGTTTCTATCATCCCTAAGACAGAGAGAAAGCAAACATTATTAGGACCACAATATTTGTGTTTTCTCTTTCTAAAATTTCAGTATAACACTATGATAGCTATTTCTGACTTTCGACCAACAAAGAAACTAAATATAATGAACATTGGGTCAGCTCACTAAAACAGCTTCACCTGCATGTTTTAAAAAACTAGTGTCAAAAACTAGTATCAAGTAGTAAGCTTATTTATCCAGTGGTATAATGGCCACAGTGATATCAATAAAGAAAAAAATTTTTTTGCTCTGAACAATTGCCTGCGTACAAGTATAATCCTTAAGATTTTCCAAACACACTTAGAAATATGTCAAAGAAGTTCAAATTATTCCAAGTAATATTTAGGGGGCAGGATTTATTCTTCAACTAGAAATGTAATACTTTTAAGTAAATGATTCTTTTTATTTTAGTTTTGAGAGACAGGGTCTCGCTTTGATACCCAGGCTGGATGTGCAGTGGTGTGATCATCACTTACTCACTGCAGCCCCTAACTCCTGGGCTCAGTTGATCCTCCTGCCTCAGTCCCTGAGTAGCTGGAATTACAGGTATGCAACACCATGCCTGGCTGAGTTTTTTT
Source organism: Homo sapiens (assembly GCF_000001405.40). NCBI lineage: Eukaryota > Metazoa > Chordata > Mammalia > Primates > Hominidae > Homo > Homo sapiens. The sequence continues at coordinate 71,784,935 of NC_000012.12, read as the reverse complement.
TTTTTGCTAGAGATGGGGGTCTCACTATGTTGCCCAGGCTGGTCTCAAACTCCTGGGCTCAAGTGATCCTATGGCCTTGGCCTCATAAAGCACTGGGCTTATAGGTGTGAGCCACTGTCCCTGACCACAGCGATATTTGAAGAATAATGGAGTTTAAGATGAGGGAACTTCGAAGAACACAGCAGAAAGACTCACACCACCTGATTGCAAGAACTAGTATAAAGCTACACTAATCAAAACAGTGAGACAATGATAGGAGAAATAGATCAGTGGAACCAAAAAAACACAGTCCAGAAATAGACCCCGTAGATATGGTCTCTTGATTTTTGACATGGTTGCCAAGGTTATTCAATGAAGAAAGAATATTTTCAAAAAACAGTAGTATTAATAGAACTGGACATCTATTGTAAAAAAAAAAAATCAACCTTAACCCACACCTTAACATCTTATGCAAAAAACAACGAAAAATGAATTATACACTTAAATGTAAGACATGAAACAAAATTTCCAGAAGAAAACACAGGAGAAAAATCTTCATAGGAGAAAATTTTTGTGACTTTGGCTTACACAAAGAGTTCTCATGTAAGACATAAAACATGAATCATAAAAGAAAAATAGATAAACTGGACCTCACTGAAACTTAAAACTGCACTTTAAGAGACACAGGTAAGAAAAATGGGAATACACAACACAGACTGAGAGAAAGTATTTACAAAACACGTATTTGAGAAGATGAAGGAAGAAAAGAGGGTGTCCTTAAAATACAAAAGGGCTCTTAAATTAGAGACTGCTCTTGATTAATGGTTTACAATTTGAGGTATGTGGGACAATCCAACAAGAGGAAATAAGAAAACATTATAAATTCTATATCTACTTATTTTTAACTTTCCAAAATTTCTATTTTTTAGGTATGTTTTAAAATGTACATATTAGTACTTGTACATGTTATATAATTTCTAAATAAACATGTGGAGCATGCAAAAATTGTTTTGAAGATGTGATATTTATAACATTTGTAAGCCACTGACTTAGTGCATTGTTATTTAAAAGCATTATCAGAAGGAAGGAAGGGAGGGAGGGAGGGAGGTAAGGAAGGAGGATATCCTGATGACTAGCATCACCACCACTTGGGTGCTTGTAGAAATGAGGACCTCAATCTATCCCACACCTATTAAATCAAAATATGCATTTAATAAGATCCCCAAGTTGTTATGTACAGCATTGGCTCTTATATTTTAGTGTGCATTGGAATCATATGAAGCGTTTGTTAAAACACAGATTCTGGGCACCATCCCTAGAAATTCTGATTCGGCAGGCTTGGAGAGCCCAAGAATTTGCATTTCTGACATATTTTCAAGTGATATTGATGCTGCTGATCAGGGGACATCACTTACATAATCAATATTTTAGAAGAATTATGAATGACTTGAGGGTTTTATAAAACTAATTTATTCCAAAATGTGTGTGTGTGTGTACACACACACACACATATCAATATTCTTTTCTAGAGAGAAAAACCATGATTTCATCAAATTCTCAAAAGAGTCTAAAGTCCATAAACTCAGATATGCATTTTATTGGTAATATAAGAAATGATTTTCAGAATATATATAAATTTATTTTCCTTTTTCTTTAAAACTATAAACTTTTTAATATGGAAAATTTCAAACATAAAGTAGAAAATACAGCATAATGAAAATCCATCACCCAATTTCATGAATAACCCTAAGCATCCCTACCATTATTTTGAGTCAAATCTCAGACCCATAACTTTATTCCTAAATTATTTTAATGTGTCTTTAAAAGATAAGAACTCCTTTTATAAAGCATAACCACAATACCATAATCACACCTAAAAAATTAATAGTATCTTAATATCATCAAATATCTTGTTTCACAAACACTCTTTTTCACTAGTTTGACAAATCAGTGTCCAAATAAGGTCCATTCATTGCAAGAGGTTGTTACAGGTCTTAAATCTGTTTTAATATGTAAATTCCCCTTCCACTTTTAATACTTATGCATATATTATAATATATATTTAGCCCACACCATACTTATGATTTCATAACCATTAATTACTGCTTGAAACAGGGTTAAAGTAGGTATTTAAGCATTAAAAAAAATAGTTACAGCACTTCAGAAATACTACCAATAGTCAATAGTTTAAAAAGAACCAATTCTTTGAAAAGTAACACTGGTGTAAAATACATACTATTTTTTAAAAAATAAAAACCAAAAACCATTTCTAAACAAACTAAATCTGAATATACCTACTTTTACAAAGGTCAAGAAAGAGTTCCTCAATTCCTTTGTTCTGTTTGGCTGAAGTATGATAATGTTTTGCTCCCACAGATTCTGCATACCTTAAAAAAAAGTAACATCGGTGATTGATGTAAAATATTATTCATGATTTTGTCTTAACTGCTTTTTTATAGTAACAGTTTTAGTGACATATTAATTTACTCAAGTTTAGTGAAATTAAGTTTATATAGCTATTTAAATTCTCTATACATTAAATCAAATTTTAAATAACACAAATATAACAAGCCTCGAAATTTTTATAGATTAATTTGGGACTCAAATACTTCAAAAGTTTTTCTGGCTTACTGCCTATTTGATCATGATAGTTTTGTTTTATATCACTCGTATTTTTCACTGAAGTCAAAAAGGGAAGTAAGGGCTTTATTGCCACAAGCCCAGAAATTACCATGTAAACATGCTTCACTGAATCCAACACCTCAATCCATGCTAAGAGATTTGAGTAATACCTAAATGGTAAAGCAAAACGTATAAAGAGGAAGATTTCTACTAGGGAGTGATGGGGAATGGGAGGGTCACAGTACTTACGACTCTGCTTCTTGAATGGAAACATGTCTCTCCTTTTCCAAGTCTATTTTATTACCTATTTTGAAAAAAGTAAATATTTATCTTTATACTGATTTATTTTCATAACAAAATTAAGCCAATTCTAAATATAAAATTGCCATTTTAATTACCAGCAAAAATAATGCAAATCCCCACCAGACTTCTAATGTCTTGAAATTATAAAGTTAAGCCTTGTGATCTGAGGGTTGATCATGCCTCATCCTCCTTCAAATGACTCAATTCATACCTTTCCTGAATCTGCAGCCTCTGACAAAGAAAACAACTTTTCCAAAGAGACAGGCACTCTTTTTTGATTTTGGGGGATACCAGAGACCTAGAGATAAACCTATGATTCTTAGGCAAGTGTAAATGATCAAAAGTAAGAGCAAAATTTTCTACAGTTCCCATTAACTTAGAGCCGGTCAATAAGTATGGCTATCTTAGTGTTTACTAAAATATATTAATCTAGCCTCTTGGATCCTACAAGTATTTTGGTTTCCTGGATGATATAAACCAGTTAAAGTAAAAATTAAAGTGTACAGATTTTTAAGTACTCCACAATCATAAGGGGAAAAACTGTATTCTCTTTTTTTTTTTTTTTGACGGAGTCTCGCTCTGTCACCCAGGCTGGAGTGCAGTGGCGCCATCTCGGCTCACTGCAAGCTCCGCCTCCCGGGTTCACGCCATTCTCCTGCCTCAGCCTCCTGAGTAGCTGGGACTACAGGTGCCTGCCACCACGCCTGGCTAATTTTTTGTATTTTTAGTAGAGATGGGGTTTCACTGTGTTAGCCAGGATGGTCTCGAACTCCTGACCTCGTGATCCGCCTGCCTCGGCCTCCCAAAGTGCTAGGATTACAGGCTTGAGCCACCGCGCCCGGCCGGAAAAACTGTATTCTTTGTTTAAAAAACAATTTTAGTGAGTTATTAAAACTTAATATATGTATATCATGCAGATTTAAATTATAAGTTTAGCTCTCCTTAAACAACAGAACCAAGCTGGGATTATACTTTTAAAAAAAGCCATCAGAACAAAAATGAAGAAACTGCAAAATACTGATTCCTTGAACTTAAGATGAGTTGGCTGGACACCCAGAGTGCTAAAGGTAATAAAAACAGTAGATAACGATAAGGAAAAATACCCTATGGAAGGACACTTCAAACAAACATTTTTATTCTTCTACTATGGCTTTTAGGGAGAAAAGAGAAATCTTATAAATAAGGTTACTTTTTTTCTTGGAACCATATAGATTCTAGGAGACAATTTCAGATAAATTTCAGATAAGGCATTGAAATAAGCACCCAATAAAAGATAAAATGTTTAGCACTGAGGTGGACAAGTCCAAAGGTTCTATATACTGAGGACCTCGAATAATCTGAGAACCTAGTTGCTGGCAACTGCAAGAAACTATCTGCCACCATAGCCTAAGAATCAGAGAGAGGGAAGCAGACAACACTAAAGCTCAGTGGATACCAACAAATTCAGTAACAAACTCTTCCTTCTTTGAACAGCTATCTACCACAGCAAGAAGTTTCATATTAGTTCTAACTTCCTACATTATATTTGTCATTGGAAATTTTAATTAGCTAAATATGACAATGTCTGACAGTAACCAGAGGAAAAACCGTCGTGTTATTCTGTAAAGAATGCAAAAAGCACCACCTGGTGGCCAGTGGCTCCAACAAACAGGAAAAAGATTCTGCCTCACAAAGGCAAAATAAGATAGTCTCCTACTAAAAGTAGCAATATTAATTTTGCTTCAATTACCTAAAACCCTATGGAATTTTTTTCTAGGTATTTAATGGCTCATGTTCCAAATTCCATCAATATCATCAATACCTATAAAAAGAGTGAAGAGAGGAAAAGCAGGCAATCACCTTACTGCCTCAAATGAACATTTAGGAGAAATAATTCAGACACTGCTTTATTATTTGATAATATTTTAAATGACTAATTTTAATAAATCAGGCCATTAATAAATAGCTATCTTAATAACCTATTATTTTAAACTTAAAATATTTTAAATCTAAATAACTATTATTTCTTTGAATAATCAGTGTTCACAATGGATTGACAGCACAGAATACATTGCAGAAACCTGACTGGCTAGTGACTGACCTCTTTCCAAAGCTCAAAAACCCTTTTAGTTTCTATATTTTTTCAAAAGCAAGACAGCTAAGGAGTAAGGCTTTGAGACTCATATCTGCTTCAATACTACTGTGCAGCTACATACGGAACTTTCTGATAGGCTTAAAACACCTGAAAACAAGGACAATAACCAAAGCAAGCACCTACTTAAAAGTATAGTACTATAAAGAATTAAAAACATAAACAAATAGGCTGACACTATTGGAAAGGGAGGGAAAAAGCTACCCTCTAAGTTAAGCAGATCTTCCTTAAAAATACATATTTGAATTAAGAACATAGAAGGGGCATGTCCACTGCTAAGGGCAAATGGCCTAATGATATAGAACTAGAATCATATTATGCTTAGACTGAATGGTTGTGGGGCACAGTGGAAAGAAGCTTTCAGAAAGCTTTTAAATGTGATAAAACTTGTTTTTAAGTCCTTGCTTACTCCATAACTGTAATTTTTTTTTTGTTTTACCTTTTTTTGAGACAGGGTCTTGCTCTGTCACTCAGGTTGGAATGCAGTGGCGTGAACACGGCTCTCTGCAGCCTCCACCTCCCGGGCTCAAGCGATTCTCCTGCCTCAGCCCCGAGTGGGACTACAGGCACACACCACCGCATCTGGCTAATTTTTGTATTTTTTTGTAGAGATGGGGTTTTGCCATGTTGCTAGGCTGGTCTCAAACTCCTGGACTCAAGCAGTCTGCCCACCTTGGTCTCCCTAAATGCTCGGATTAAAGGCCAGAGTCACCACGCCTGGCCATAACTGTAATATTTTGGACAAATTAGTTAACCTCTGTTAGTCTCACTGTACGCATGTGTCGCTAACAAACCTTGCAGGGTTGATGTGAAAATAAGATATATGTAAAAGGCCTAGCATATACTATATGCTCAATAAGGAACAGTTATTAATATTAATGACATTCATCACAGTGAATGATCAAATGGAAAGTCAATATTGTTGTAAGACAATTAAAGTCCATGACAGGTAATACAAACTTACTCCTGACCTCAAATGATCCGCCTGCTTCAGCCTCCCAAAGTGCTGGGATTACAGGGGTGAGCCACCACGCCTTGCAGGTAACGCACTCTACCATCATCCTACTGGCTTCATCTAGCTAACTTAGTTTATCCAACACTTGGTCTAGGAAATGTTCCCTTATCTCCCCCTTGCACCCCAAATCTAGTTTGTTTGCTTTTGTGCTCTCATAGCACTCCATTCTGCATTTCCCTTCCATAGCATTTATTATAACATATAATAGTAGCTTGTTTTCCTCTCTTTTTCCACACAAGAGACTCTGGGAGGACAAGAACCGTATCTATTTTGTTTACTTATTCACTACACTATTCCCAAAGCCTGGCACATAGTAAGCAATGAAGTGTTTATTAAGGATATGGGCTTGAAGTGGCAGGCAGATCTGAGTTAAAATCCCAGGTCTACTTCTAACAAACTATGTGACTTTGGGAAGTTTCAAGGTCTCTAAGCACATTTTTTCATCTGTAAAATGAAATGGTCTTCCCCTCAGCATTGTCAGGAGGCTTAAATGAAGTAAAAAATGTGTACTTAAAACAGTGCCTGGCACTCAGTAAATGGTGACTACGATTAATAATAAATATTTGTTCAAGAAACATACAAATATTAAGGATAGACTAGATGCAGAATACTATCAACCACAGCCAAGGGTGCCTATCAATGGATTAATGACAACCTAGAGGAAAAAGTCTCTGCTATTGAAACATGTGGTTCTCTATTACTGGTTAGCACATGGATATCAGGGACTTAGATAAGGATCTAGGAGGTTAAGTATTCAATTTACACATGAAAATGCTAGTAGACTGTATATCAAACATAAAGATTCAAAAACATGACAAACTGAAATTTCTACTTAGCTTTAAATAGTTACATGAGAACAAGCTGGGAAACATCTGGCTGAATAGCAATACTTATAAAAAAGGACTTGAGATTTTAGATAACTATAACCTATGTAAAAGAGACTAGTTGACATGTCTGCTAAAAAATTTAAGCAATCTCAGGCAATCCTGATAGAAGGCCAGTGTGAGGAGAGAGACAGGGTCTATAAGAACATACTAGCTCAACAACATTTGGATTCTATGGTTTATTTCCAAGTGTGGGAGACATACTGACACAATAAAATAAACCTAGGAGAGAAAATGATCAGGATGATCAGAATGTCTGGAAGGTAGGCCACATAAAAAAACAGCTGATCTAGAGAATTTAAGACTTAAAGTGAGCCGTTTAAGTAGTCTTCAAATGCTTGAAAGGTTATCTTATGTAAAGAGAAAAGAATGAATTCTTGTCAAATGTTTACCTCTATGCCAAGTATTTTTCAAATCATTATATAATCTTCATCATAACCCTGAGAAGTAGTAGTATTATTTCAAAGTTACTAATAAAACAGAAGAGAGAATAAACACTGAACTACTACAACAGAGAATAAAAATCAAGAAGTGGGAAAAACAATGCAAATGTCCATCAATAGCAAAACAGATAAACTGTGGAGTATTCATAGATTAAAGTATTAGACAGCAATCAGAATAAAATGAACAACTATATACAACATAAAGGAATCGTAGGCACATAATGTAAAGTCAAAAAAGCCAGACCCAAAAAGAGTTAATATTATATGATTCCATTTATATAAAATTCAAAACAAAACTAATTCATGCAGTAAAAAGGATAGTGACGGGGGTGGGGAATGGTGAGGGGAAAACAACTGTGAGTGTTGGGATGAAAAAGCAACACAACTCAGGGTCCTTAGGTACTGCTTACACCGTGCAATTTTCATTTTGTGAAAATTATGTTATTGAAGATTTGTACACTTTTCTGTACATATAATGAAAAACTCACTTTAAAAATCAGTTAAGTGAAGGATACAGGGAGTATGATTTCAGCTAAATGTGAAGAAAAATTCGTTTATTGCACTGTGTCAGAAAAAATAAGTTGTTCTCCAACACCAGCGTGTATGTACACTAAATCAGAATTAACAGCACACAGTGCCTGGTACAAAGAAGCCACTCAAAAATACTTGTAGAAGGAAGAAAGATGGGGTGAAAAGAAGGAATTAATTCTTAGTCCCATCCATAGAGATTTTGATTTAGTGTATCTGTAACGAGGCCCAAAATACTTTTTTTTTAATCCTTTAAGTTATCCTAATAAGTTTGGGAAAAGTAGTAAATAAGCTCTCAGAATTCTTTTTTTTTTTTTTAAACGGGAGACTGGAGTTTTATTATTACTCAAATCAGTCCCTAAGTTCTCAGAATTCTCCCAACTCTGAATTCCAAGTAAAATTCCATGTCACACTTGTCAACAGAAGAAAGTGAGAGCTTTCTATACTTCACACTAATAATTAATAAACATTATATAATATTAAATGGGGTATTTGACCCTACCTGAGGCAATAGGCTACCAGATCCAATATTCCTAAAACGTCTTATAATATGAACATTAAAAATATACACTATATAAACATTTTTAAAGAAACCAATTCACTATCTGGCAACCACTCTCTCTGATGCTCCAGTGAAAGTATCTTCCCTGAGGTTCAATTTAATGTTATGCCTTCAACTTTTAGAGAGGGGCAACATAAAAGGTACTTCATTGAACATTAAAAAAAAACAAACACACTTTAAACTATTCATGAGCTTGTTTAACTTAGATGATTTTTTAAATGTTACTTTGTGACCTTGGTCAAGTAACAAGCTCTTGGGGTTTCCTTGACTTTATGTATGTGTTAGTAATTTCTATCTTCAGAAAGATGATCAGAATCCCAAAATATTAAATCTTCAGTCATTCATCTACTGTGGCCACTTCCACTCCTAGTAAGTCCATATACCACACAAAGTTACACAAAACTCAGTACTGATTAGCTGTAGCTTTGGTTCCAAATCTCCAAGTAGCCTACTACTTCAGTGTTCCAGTCTGAAATATTCCTGCCTAGCCTAACATCTAGCATCTAGACCAAAACGCAGGGGAAATCATCTCGCTTTTTTCCCCCAAGACTTGCCCCTGATCTGGTACTATAAAGCTACCAATGTAATGGTGGCAAGAGATAAGAAATGTAAACTCAAGTTAAAAAAAATTCTTGGCCGGGTGCAGTGGCTCACGCCTGTAATCCTAGCCCTTTGGGAGGCTGAGGCGGGTGGGTCATGAGGTCAGGAGTTTGAGAACAGCCTGGCCAATATGGTGAAACCCTGTCTCTACTAAAAATACAAAAATTAGCTGGGCGTGGTGGTGCGTGCCTGTAGTCCCAGCTGCTCGGGAGGCTGAGGGAGGAGAATCGCTTGAACCCAGGAGGCGGAGGTTGCAGTGAGCTGAGATCACACCACTGCATTCCAGCCTGGGTGACAGAGCGAGACTCCGTCTCAAGAAAAAAAAAATTCTTAAGGCTAAAAGCAGAATTTGCCCAAACTGACCATTCCATTCTTTCATTTCCCCAGATACTACCCTTGTCTTCCACTGAAATGATCCTACCCTGGCTTCTCCCATATTGCTTTTAATATTATCAGGTATGTAGAAAGAAAGCGAGAAAACAGCATGAGGCTATACATCTTAAGGATTAGTAACCTAAGAGTCAGAACGACTTCATTTCAAATCCCATCTCTGAAAGCTACCTGACACTGGGCAAGTTATTATCTCCAGGACTCACCTTCCTCTATAAAACCCTCATAGGATTATGAGGATTACATGAGATAATGTCTGTGAGTACACAGCACAGTGTTTAGTATACTTTTATTGTTCAATACTTGTGATATCACAGAAATAATAATCTAAAGAAAAAGGGAACCAAAGAGAAATTCCAGAAGTCCAAAAGTGAGTTGCAGAGTTCCTTTATACCCATTAGGAATATTCCTCCACCCTGGGATCATGATCTACTTGTATCCTTATGGCCAAATCTGACCATTACTCAAAAATGTATAGTTAAATGTACAGAATAAGAACACAAGCCGAAGTCATTTCCTTAATTTTATTTTAAAGTAGTTACTAAACTTTTTTTCTAAGCAAAATCATACAGTGAAAAAGAAAGGTCAAATTGAAGCAAGGCTGGGAAACTTGAAGCCCCAACTGTTTAGTTTCCAATTTGCTCCCCAAGGCATTCCTTAGAGTTTGAATCTCCTGGAAAATCACTTCTAAATCCTAAATTATTCTTTTTTTTTTTTTTTTTAAGACACAGTCTCGCTCTGTTGCCCAAGCTGGAGTGCAATGGCGTGATCTTGGCTCACTGCAACCTCCACCTCCTGGGTTCAAGTGATTCTCCTGCCTCTGCCTCCCAAGTAGCTGGGATTATAGGTGCCCGCCACCACGCCCAGCTATTTTTGTATTTTTATTAGAGCGGGGTTTCACTATGTTGGCCAGGCTGGTTTTGAACTCCTGACCTCAGATGATCTACCTGCCTCAGCATCCCAAAGTGCTGGGATCACAGGCGTGAGCCACTGTGCCCAGCCTATTTTTTTTTGAGATGGAATCTCACTGTATCACCCAGGCTGGAGTGCAATGGTGCGACCTTGGCTCACTGCACCCTCTGCCTCCCGGATTCAAGTGATTCTCCCACTTCAGCCTCCCAAGTAGCTGGGACTATAGGCATATGCCACCACTGTCTGGCTTTTTTTTTTTTTTTTTTTTTTTTTTTGTATTTTTAGAGAGACAGGGTTTCGCCATGTTGACCAGGCTGGTCTTGAACTCCTGACCTCAAGTGATCCACCCACTTTGGCCTCCCAAGGCGCTGGAATTACAGGCATGAGCCACTGCACCAGGCTAAATCCTAAATTATTCTAAAATATTTATATTAATATGCCATTCTTCCTTTCTCATATAACTTTAAAACAAAAATTACTTGTCTTCAATAAAACATTAAGGAAACAGAGGACTTTTTTTTTAGAAAAAAGTAATGATGCTTACCAACTATACATAAACAGATTTCATTTCCCAACATTTTCCGTAATTCTTTGACCCAGTTTTTTACCTGTATATACAAAAGAGCACATATTAAAACAAATCCTGTTGGAATTACTACTATCACAACACCCAAAAAACTCAACACTGTCAAAATACCTCAGAATTTTAAGAGTCTATATTATTTAGTTATTACTAGAAATGATTCACTGAAGAATCATTTATTGCCAGGTTATATTGCAAACTATATACATATAAACATACAATGGAAAAATACACAGAAGCAACTCTAATTATAAATTTGCATCAGTCTTCCACAGAGCCAAGCAAAGCTATTCACTAGAGCAAAAGCATATCAACTCCAGCTTCTGATAACAGATGCTTTAACAATATAGATAACAGTGTCACTTTGGACTTAGGAACATATGGGTTTAAAACAGTCTTTTATACCCTAATTGATTCCTAAATAGAGGGCAAAGGAGCTTCAGTGTCACACACTTAAAGACAAAGAAAAAAAAATGTATATAAGCACCAAAAAAAATTAGAGTGCTAAAATAATTCAATCATTTAGTGTACGACAGGGTTTTGCAACCTTGGCAATACTGACATTTTAGTACAGATAATTCTTTGTTGTGAGGCACTGCTCTGTGCAATGTATGTTTAGTAACATCCCTGACTTCCTACCCACTAGATGCCAAGAGCATCCGCCAGTTGTGACAACCAAAGATGTCTCCAGGCATTGCCATCCCCGGTAGAGAACCAATGATATACAGTAACTCCAGTTATGAACTGATTCTCCAGTATGAGTGAAGCATAGTAGTAGACACAGTTGGCAGTAAACTGGAATTAAGTAGATGAATCTTTTGAACTCATGATTTTAAATGTTGATTATAATAACAGAATAAAAGGCAAACTTGGACACCTGCCTTCATTCTTTTCAATGAAATTTAATCTGGATGTAATCAAATCACACTGAACTTATAAAACCTCCTGAAAAAATACACATATATCTGTAAATTCCAAAAATTACATTAGCTATGTGGTAACCACTTACTGTGCATCTGGTCTTATGGTGTACAAATGTAACACTTCCCCATTCCTATTCTCTACAGAATGAAGAGGAACTATCTTTGGCAACCCAAAATCCTTATAAAAGCAAAGGTAGTTATCATCACCACATTATCTTTATAACAGCACTGAATGACAGTTTTCTCAGTATAGCCCCACCTTTTTGTTTCATTCACATATATGTACAAAGTTTTCAAAGCATTTAACTTCCACTTTATTGATTTCACATAAGAAAAATTTGACTTAAAATTTTATGCCAATACAATTGGCATAAAATATACATCTTCACCACCTCAAAAGAAACACAGCAGAATCCAATTACGTATCCCTCTCTTCCATGTGCATATAGTATCACAACCTACTAATCTGATCAATTTTTTTAAAAAAAAGCTTGTTAGTCATTTCAAATTAGATACCCCTCCACAAGCACTCTATCTATTCTTTACCCCCATACATTTTTGTTGAGTTAGAGATGGTCACAAATTCTTTGCTAATCTTCCCATTAAGTGGTAGAGTCAAATTCCCCACCCTCTGAATTTGGGCTGGCCTTGTAACCTGCTTTGACAAGAGAATGTGGCAGAAGTAATGCTGTGCCAATCTCAGACTTAAGTCTTAAGAAGGCCTGGTAGCTTCTACTTTTAACTCTTGGGATCCAGTTGTCATATAAAAAGCTTAAGGTAGAATACAGAATAATGAGAGAGCACATAGAGAGAGTACTGGATGATAACACACCAGATATAGTGAGAGGCCAGATGGAGAACTAGGCCTTCTTGGATATTCCAGCTCCAGCCAAACTCCCAGTTCAGTGCAGCTCTATGAGTGACTCCAGTGACATCACAAAGAGCAGTGGACCTGCCTGGTCAACCCACAGAATCATGAGAAATAATAAATTATTGTTTTAAGTCAAAAATTTTGGGGGTTTTGTTACACAGTAGTAGACAACTGGTCCCTTTCAACCTAAATGACTCGATCTTTTTTTTTTTTTGAGATGGAGTCTCACTCTGTCACCCAGGCTGGAGTCCAGTGGCGCGATCTAGGCTCACTGCAACCTCTGCCTCCCCAGTTTAAGCAAGTCTCCTGCCTCAGCTTCCCAAGTAGCTAAGATTATAGGCATGTGCCACCAAACCCAGCTAATTTTTTTGTATTTTTAGTAGAGATGGGAGTTCACCATGTTGGCTGGGCTGGTCTCTAACTCCCGACCTCAAGTGACCCGCTGTCCTCGACCTCCCAAAGTGCTGGGATTACAGGCGTGAGCCACTGTGCCTGGCCTCAATCTTCTCTTAATAAAATACTTAAACTATGTCTTTTCATGCAAAACGCGAGAGGGAGATAACAAACAGCAGCACCAAAATAACTTTTAAAAATCATTAAATCTACAAGGTACCTATCGTTTCATTTTCTACTTTTGGATTAAGTTTTTCCATTTATCATTAATAACCCAAGGGCTAACTTGTATATCTGCTCTATCAGATTTAACTGGGAAAAAAAATAAAGAGAAAAAACAAAACAAACAAGGTAAGTAATTTTACCAAGAACAAGCCTGTAACTCAAGGCAAGAAAAGCTTCTTCCTTGGCATTATTCCCTGTAGTTACACATTGTTGACATATTCCAAGAAGAGCTTTAGGAGAAAAGGTCAAATAAGTAACCCATCTGATTGTGATGAAAATTCAGAGGTAATTAAATGGTAACTCATTTTTGGTCCCAAACAACTTTAAGAGTCATACGTATGTGGTGTGTTTTTGAAGGGAAGTAAACTAATGAGATAACTTTAAGACTGTCCTTTTAAAACTTTTATTATATTTGGCAAGGAGAAAGCTTAAATGTGATGTTGTTCCTCCTTTTTCCTCTTCACAATAAAGGAACCCGTCCAGCCACACCAAGTTTAAGAGCCCAATGCGTATGGAATTAAGGAAATATGTGTGATTTTTCCTTAAGAGGGAAAAACAAAAGCCCCCATATTTTTCTGAAGCTCAATTTCAAATATTTCCCTTCCCTAATATTTGAGAAAGCCATGTAATAAGGCATTAATTATTCTAACGTAAATTAATTCATATGAATCAAATATTTCATTAAACATATGAGTACACCACCATGTTGTAGGTGAAAAGAAAAATAAAATGTAAGTGGTCACCAGTTATGCACAAATTATATACTTTATTTTTAAAAAGAAAACTAATCACATTAGTGAATAAAGGTATATTAATGGAAACTTGAAAAATTACTATTGTTCTTCTAAGACATCTACCCATGAATAGAATACCTTCTGAAAAGAATCTTCATCTGTTATGTCATAAACTAAAATCGCTCCATTTGAATCTCTGTAGTAAATTGGACCCAATGCATGGAATCTCTCTTGACCTGCCGTATCCTAAAGAAAGCAACAAATGCTTATTAGATCAGAAGAAAAATACAAATCTGCGATTGCAACTATGGTGAACTTTTTGATTAATTGGAAAATATGGCATAAAGTCAAAGACAACCACAAAACCCTATTAACAGAAACAAAACAGCAAAACAGGCCACACACAAAATTTTTAAGTTATGACCAATATGTAATGTTTTAGTGATATACAAAAGTTACTTTTTCCCTCCCAACCTTCCTCCTCCTCAGCACTTCCCCACCCCCATTAAAATACCAGTTTCAGTTGCCAGAGGGTCAAAACAACCAACACAGTATTATAAGCCAGGAATAGGCTCTGCCCTAAGTTTAAGTTCCCACACTGGGAGAGACAGGGAAATGGCACGTGCATCAAGATCACCAGTCAAGAAGTATCTGCTGCATTATCCTCACCCACCAGCCATTCTCTTAGAAGGCTGGAATATGGAGACACAGGGTGGGGAAAAAAAGGCCAGGCAAGCTGTCCACCCACCCTGTCCTCTCTCTGAAGTGGAACCCCTCTGAGTTGACCCTTCTCCAACTGAAAAGTTATGACAGCAATATTCAAATATACAATTATATTCCAGATATAATTCTCAACCAGATTTTAAGATTCTTTTTAATTAAAAAAAAAAAAAAGTGTTGGCTAAGCTCCAATTAACTTTAAAAAAAAAGAAAAAAGGAAGAAGCCTCCACGCATAATAGTTGAAAAAGTTCACTTACCCATATGGCAAGGTTTACTCTTTTCCCACCAATATTTAACTTCTTTGTTAAGAATGATGCCTAAAAAGAGAAATAAACATTAAACAATGTTTCTTATAAAATAAGGTTCTTTATCCTAACAACTATAGATGAATGAATCATCTCAATGTAAAAGTTATCTGGGAGAAAAAGTAATCACCGAGTTTTAAA
The DNA here is from genome assembly GCF_000001405.40 of Homo sapiens. NCBI lineage: Eukaryota > Metazoa > Chordata > Mammalia > Primates > Hominidae > Homo > Homo sapiens. The sequence continues at coordinate 71,769,670 of NC_000012.12, read as the reverse complement.
TTAATGATCGAAATTGTTTCATTAAAGATAAGACATTATTTACATTTTTATCTAAAAAAAAATCTTGTTTTCTGAAAATAGGTTATACAAAACACACAGAAAATAAGTATTTTTTTCTTAATATTTTTCCTTATCTATGTGGAACAAAATTTTCCCTAGAGCATTTAATTTGATGCTACCTTATCACAGAAAGAAAGAGTCTAAGAGATTTCTAAGATAAAATAAATGTTTACTGGTGGTTTACTTAATGTACAAATATCAATATTATTCAAAATGATTCCACAGTTACTTCATAACTCAATTGTTTAACATATATTCAATAATTATCCTAAGTATTAATGTCAGAGAAATGAAGGGACACGGTTCTACCCTTTATACTCTACTAGAGAAATAAAAATAAAGAGAATTACGATTCCATGTGATAATTGCTAAAATGGAGGGTCTTGCCAAATACACTGTAAAGATAGTACTGAGAAAGGAAGTATAACAGTTGTCTGAATGAGTCAAAGAAGGCTTCAGAGAGAAGGTAATGATCTCCCCTTTAGGAGCAGTAGGGACTGTTCCTGATAGATGAGTGAAGCCACTGAAGCCTCAAACACATGACTCCATCCCACAGGGAACTCCAAGTGGGTATGGTCAATACCAGAGATGAAACTACACAGATGGACTTTACCTTGTGGGTCTCAACAAAACCTGTTCTAAGACACCAGACATGTATTTAGACACACACACACACACGTCAAGTATACTTTGGAAATACTATGTATTGATTTTTATACACCAACAATGCACATTAACACATTAGGATGCTGCCAAAAGGAAGGCTAGCTGACTGTATTTATACAAGCATTTCCCAAACTCATTTGAACTTTTTTTCCCTGATTTTCTTCTGTATAGCACTGAACCTTTTTTTCCTGGAAAAATACCAAATTCATCCTAAAGAACAACTGTTTGAAGAAACAGGACTACTGACAAGGGAGAATCACTGAATGGTTTCAAGCAATGGGGAAACAGATCTATATTTTAAGAGAATGACCCTGGGATAGGAAGGGAGGTTGGACTAGAAAAGATAGGTAGAAAGAACACTTACAAAATTGGAGAAAAATATAAAAAAGGAGATCTGAACTAAGACCATGAAGATAGGAAAGAAAGAAGAGTATCAAGAGTTACTGAAGACAAAATATATCCAGAATCCAGAGTCAGCTGACGTGTTTAAAAAAAAGGAATAGAGAGCTGAGTTCAGACCTGTATAGAGATAGTCACATTTAGGTGTTATTTATATAGAAGAAAGTGCAAAGAAGGTGAAACAGATAAAAGGTCAGGATGGTGAATTACTGAAGGAAAGAAACAATTGAGATTTCTTTTACCTCAATTTCAGGAAGGTCTTTTTGCTATGGGCACACCACAGAAAATTAGAACTAAGAAAAGGCCACTGGATGTAGTGATTAACCAAGGAGTCTACAGATAAATATAAATGGCAGAGCTGGGTTCAAACCCATGTATGTCTGCCTTCAAGGCCCAAGCTATCCTCAAGATATTTTGTAAATAAAATAAAAATTATACAGAAAAGAAGAAAAATTAAATGCCAAAACAGCAAAGTAACCTGAAAAATGAGAAGACCAAATACATGTTATGACAATAAATGTCTTCTCCCATTCATGCTAGCATAGGAGCTAAGAATATGAACTTTGGAGCAGAACCTGTGGATTTGAATCTCAGCTTTGCCACATACTAGCTGTGTAATTTATTTGAACTCAATCATTTTCATGGTTTCAATATCAATGCCACATGGAAAAAAAACAAAATCTGAATCCTATCCGAATATTTAATGGATAGGTCAATTTAAGTGCCTCTTTTTCAAACACATGTAAGAAAGACTGAACCGATCTTCTCCCCAAAATTGGATTTTCATTCTGACTTTAGTATTTTGATCACATTCGCCTTCTCATTGAAGTTTAGAAACTTGGAAATATCTTCTTAAGCCCTTGTCAGTCTATATGCCTCCAAAATCTACCAAGCCTTGTCTTCACATTTCCTCTGGGGTCTATGACCACCAGTCTCTTATTATATCGTAACATAAATACCTCTGGTTCACCTTACACCCCGCTCTGCATGCCATATTATCTTCCCAAAGCTTCCCTGGTTAAAACAAAAACAAAAACAAAACAAACAAAAAAAACCCCACAACAACAACTTACAACTCATCGAAGGGTTCCCTAACAGGTTATCATTTTTAATAAGTATGCTTGAACATCCCTGCTGACAGCTAATATCATAACCTTTTGGTCATGAGTGTTGTGGAGATTTCTCAGAAGAAGGGAGTGCATCAGAGTTGGTAAAGCTGCCTCATTTCTTTTCTACCATCCCCTCTGAAATTTCCCACCACTCTCCCACGGCAAATTTAAAGGACGGTATTAAGTCTCCATTAAGGAACTATGGATACACAAAAACACTTGTACGGAAAGGGTACACATGACAACACTGATTATATAGAAAAACAAAAACAATGAAATTATCTGTGTTCATTAATAGGTAAGTAGTTAAAAATTCACAAAAATAGCCATCCATGCAGTAAAAACACTACACAGTCATTTCTACTACTGCTGCTAATACTAGCTAACATTTATTAAATGTTTATTTTGTGCCAAGTACTGTGCTATGCACTTTTCACAAAATCATTCATAAGCTGCTTCTTTATAAAAGTTGGGGAGCCCACATTTACAATTAAAAGTCTCAAAGCCTTATCTTTATATCCAAAGACTTCCACAACGTGTCCACATCTATCTTCTTAGGACAGCTTCCAATATTTCTTTACTTATTCTCCAACTTATATGGCTTTTTTGCATCCTCTTCAATTCTTCTGTCCATAAAATTCCACTCTAATTTGAGCCTATTCTCTGTTCTCTATCTGAATTCCACCTATCCAAATATGGCTCTTTTTCCTTGAAATTTCATGTTCTCTTATACTCATGCACGCAATGCACACAAATTTTTCTAGCCTGAAGAATTTTAGGGAATCAACTCTGCATTTACTGCAGCTTATACTGTCTTATACTATAAATTATCTTTTCATGGGTATAAGTATTCTGTTAACTAGACTACATATTTTTATTTAACGTTTCTACAGCACTTACAATGAAATGGGCAGTGTTCTAAGAGCTTCTCAAATATTAATTCACTTAATTCTCAGGTGCCAATAACACCCTGTGAGTCAGAGATAATTGTTACCCATGTATTACAGATGTGGAAAATGAGGCATAAGGAGGGTAAATATCTTGCCCAAGGTCACACAGTAAGTGACACAGTGCCACTTGAAATCCCAGGCAGTTTGGCTCCAGATATTAATTATAACTACTATGCTACGATACTTCTCAGACTGAGATCTGAGCTCTCTAACACTTCCACTCTTGTGGAAGAAGTGGGTGGAAGTCATAGTACCCTGCCCATAATTGACAATCAAATACTGTTATTATAGATAAGCACATCTACAATATGCCCAGGTAAATCAATGCAGGTATAACTCAATTTAGTAGGAGATATGCTCCTAAGTTTCCTTCTTAATCAAATTATTTTAACTCATATATATGATGCACTAGTAAAGCATATTATCAAAGGATCCCTAGTAAATATTTTTTTCCTTCATAATGAAAAACTTAAGCCCTGCTCTATGGAAAGATTCTGTTTCGTAAATCATCTCATTTGATATAAATCCTAAGTTTTTAATATTTTATAGACATTTTCTTCAAGGGAGAACTCTTTTTAAAAAACTTTAGAAAACTTTTTTAAAAAATAAAATTATGAATATATTTAAGAAGAAAGCTGAAACATCAAGATAGCAACAAACAGGTATAAAAATAGGCACGTAGACCAATGGAACAATAGAGAACGCAGAAATAAAGCCAAATACTTACACTTACCTGATCTTCGACAAAGCATATAAAAACAGAAATTTGGGAAAAGATAGCCTATTTAACAAAAGGTGCTAGGAAAACTGGCAAGCCACATGTAGAAGAATGAAATTGGATCCTCATCTCTCACCTTATACAAAAATCAACTCAAGATGGATCAAAGACTTAAATCTAAGAACTGAAACCATAAAAATTCTAGGGGATAACATTGGAAAAACTCTTCTAGACATTGGCTTAGAGAAAGAATTCATGACTAACACCCCAAAAGCAAATGCAACAAAAACAAAAATGAATAAATGGTACCTAATTAAACTGAAACGCTTCTGCACAGCAAAATAAATACTCAGCAGAGTAAACAGACAACCCAGAGTGGAAGAAAATGTTCGTAAACTAAGCATCCAACAAAAGACTAATATCCAGAATCTACAAGGAACTCAAACATATCAGCAAGAAAAAAACAACCCCATCAAAAAGTGGGCAAAGGACATGAAAAGACAATTCTCAAAAGAAGATATACAAACAGCCAACAAACGTATGAAGAAATGCTCAACATGACTAATTATCAGGGAAATGCAAATTAAAATCACAATGACATACCCCTTACTCCTACAAGAATGACCATAATTAGTCAAAATAACAATAGATGTTGGTGTGGATGTGATGAAACGGGAACACTTTTACACTGCTGGTGGGAACGTAAACTAGAACAACCACTAAAGAAAACAGTATGGAGATTACTTACAGAACTAAAAGCATTATAGATCTATCATTTGATCCAGCAATCCCACTACTGAGTATTTACCCAAAGGAAAAGAAGTTGTCATATGAAAAAGACACATGCACACATGTTTACTGCAGCACAATTCACAACTGCAAAGATATGGAGCCAACCTGAGTGTCCATCAACCAACAAGTGAATAAAGAATATGCGGTATATATACGCCATAGAATACTACTCAGCCATAAAAAGGAATGAAATAATGTCTTTTACAGCAACTTGGATGGAGCTGGAGGCCATTATTCTAAGTGAAGTAGCTCAAGAATGGAAAACCAAATATTGTACGTTCTCACTTATAAGTGAGAGCTAAGCTATGAGGATGCAAAGGTGTAAGAAATGATATAATGGAATTTGGGTACTCAAGGAGGAAGGTTTGGAGGAGGGTATGGGATAAAAGACTACATATTGAATATGGTGTACACTGCTCAGGTGCACCAAAATCTCAGAAATCACCACTAAAGAACTTATCCATGTAGCAAAAAAACACCTATACCCCAAAAACTATTGAAATAAAAATAAAAATTTATAAAAAAAGATAGCAGCAAACAATCAAAAGGCTGAAATTTGTCTTTTCTTTTTTAACCACCTCTACTAGGCACATTTAATTTGGCCAGACTACTGAGATACCACTGTAGTTATAATAATTACTCTGGAGCAGTGGTTCTTAATTCTTACATGGTACTGAGGGGGGAGAAGTAATTATAAACTTCTTTAAGAATATGAAGAAATCCATGAACCTACTCACTCCCCAGAACACCACTCATACGCACATACTAAAAACAATTCCCACGTACTTCCAAGAGATTTATAAATGCCTGGCAACATCTCAGTAAAGAACTCCCAGTCCACAAACGGAAGGAGGGAGAGTAACATTAAACAATAGCCAATTCAAAAGGTTCTAGGACTATAGGAAGGGGAGAAAAATCATACTATGTGCCAAGCACTGTGCTTGGGCTTTTTCATTTAATTTTCAACAACTCTGTGAAGTAGATATTTATCCTTACTTTACAGCTGTGAACCTGATTTTTTTTAAAAAATACAGTGATTCACGGAAGGTCAGACAGCTCAGCTGGGTGCTGCAGTGGGTGGAAGCCTGTCTGACTCCACAATGGTTTTTCCATTGCACAAAGCTAACTATTCTAGGACATACACACATTTCTTAATCTGGCACTCCTCCACTTGGACAGTAAGTGTTCTTGGACCCTAACCTCCCCAAATATTCTCAGGGTAGGCACAAAGTATTACTAGCAAGGATCCATGTAAGTTATGGCACATTCTCCACCCTACCTCCTTCAAATCCTGAGTTATTTCACCAGTACATCTTCTAATCTCAATTATTTCACCTTCTATGCTTTAGTGATATTACAAAATTAACAATCTTATTAGCTCATGTTGTCATCTGTAACTTGTATTAACACCTGATTCTTGTTTATCCAACAGCTCAGTGGCTATCATAGTGGAAGACAAAAAAAGAAAATGCTATTTAAAAAAAAATCGACAGGTAATCACAGGGAGGAGGAAAAAAATTAAAAATTTAAAAACTTAAAAAAAGGATTATAAGAGAGAAATAACAGGGAAAAAATATATCTGCCAAATTAAAGTCTTTTCATAACTTGTTTAATCAATTTTTTGGTTCTCTGTTAGCGGGACCATTTGCTGTGCTTGCTAACTACCGTTCTGTCAAAGCAAACCACCTAAAGTAGTATTTGATAATTATAAGGTATCTGTTGAAAGCAACATAGTAACTACATTGTGAACAAATACTTTCCTGGCTTTATCTAGTATCAACTAAATTCAACAGACTTCATTAATTGGGGGCCTGCCGTTGGGGAGTGTATGAGTAAGATAGTAAGATTGTGTGTGTGTGTGTGTGTGTGTGTGTGCGTGCAAAATAAATATTCTTGCTAGTTGCTAACACTGGTGCAGGCTTAAGTATTTAAATAATGTACAACTATTTGTTAATTTTTAAAATAAAATAAAAAAATAAATGAGTAAAGCATTACCACTTCCATACTTAAGAGATGACAGAATTCAGGCAGGTTAATTTATAAAATTAGCCCTCTCTAGCAAGGCAATAAAAATTAGCTATCAAAAAACTAAGCTAGGCCGGGCATGGTGGCTCACGCCTGTAATCCCAACACTTTGGGAGGCTGAGGTGGGTGATCACCTGAGGTCAGGAGTTCGGGACCAGCCTGACCAACAAGGTGAAACCCCATCTCTACTAAAAATATAAAATTAGCCAGGCGTGATGGTGGGCGCCTGTAATCCCAGCTACTCAGGAGGCTGAGGCAGGAGAATTGCTTGAATCCACGGGGCAGAGGTTGCAGTGAACTGAGATCGTGCCATTCCTCTCCAGCTTAGGCGAAAGGGCGATACACCATCTCAGGAAAAAAACAAAACAAAACCTATCCCAGCACTTTGGGAGGCCGAGGCGGGCGGATCACGAGGTCAGGAGATCGAGACCATCCTGGCTAACACGGTGAAACCCCGTCTCTACTAAAAATACAAAAAATTAGCCGGGCGTGGTAGCGGGCGCCTGTAGTCCCAGCTACTCGGGAGGCTGAGGCAGGAGAATGGCGTGAACCTGGGAGGCGGAGCTTGCAGTGAGCCGAGATCGCGCCACTGCACTCCAGCCTGGGCGACAGAGCGAGACTCCGTCTCAAAAAACAAAACAAAACAAAACAAAACAAAACAAAACCTAAGCTAGGTGCTTGAATATTTTCACATTTCTTCTTAGTTTCTAAAAACAAGGATTATAATTAGTTTAGGAGTCCAAATAAAGACTTTCAAAAGGAAAGTCAAAGAATCATGTTTAAAGAGTAACTCAAAGCACAAAGCAGAAAATGGCAGTCAGATATAGAAATTTGTGGCCACATTCACAAAAACTCATTTCTTAAGTAAAATCACCCAAACTTCTATAAAATACTAATTAAATACTAAGCAGAAAAAGATTTTAAAAGAACTTCAATTATTATACTGTATGAAGATATTATAATAAATCACTTAAATTAACAGTAATATGGTTTTCAAGGATACTTACAAAATACTTTGAACACTCAAAATATTCTTTATGCAAACAAAGAAACCAAGATTCCTAGACCAAGACTATGATGCAAAATGTAAAACCACTGCTACAACCTGAATGCCAAGTGTTGCTCAGGTTAAGGTGTGTTTAAAAAATAAATAAAAGCCAAGTGTCTCAAAAATAAAATAAAATAAATTTTCTTTTAAGAAGTAGTAGACTAGGCCAAAAAAGCCATACCATTTCTATTTTTTAAATTTATTTATTTTTTATTTTTATTTTTTTGAGATGGAGTCTTGCTCTGTTGCCCAGGCTGGAGCACAATGGTGCAATCTTGGCTCACTGCAACCTCTGTCTCCCAGGTTCAAGTGATTCTCCTTCCTTAGCCTCCTGAGTAGCTGGGATTACAGGTACCCACCATCATGCCTGGCTCATTTTTGTATTTTTGTAGAGATGAGGTTTCACCATGTTAGCCAGGCTGGTCTTGAACTCCTGACCTCAGGTGATCCACCCACCTCAGCCTCCCAAAGTGCTGGGCTTACAGGTGTGAGCCACCATGCCCGGCCCTTGTATTTTTATTTTTTAAAAACAGGGTCTTACTATGTTGCCCAGGTTGGTCTTAAACTCCTGGGCTCAAGCTATCCTCCTGCCTGCACTTCTCAAAGTGCTGGGATTACTGAGCCACTATGCCCAGCTGGCACACCATTTCTATTTGTGGGACCTTGGAAATTTAATTCAAGTCTTTTTCATTTTTTAAGAGACAGGGTCTCACTCTGTCACCCAGCTGGAGTGCTGTGGCACAATCATAGCTCACTGCAGCCTCAATCTCTTAGGCTCAAGTGATCCACCAGCCTCAGCCTCCTGAGTACCCAGGAATATGAGTGTGCATCACCATGCCCAGCTATTTTTTTTTTTTTTTAACTAGAGATGGACTCTTGCTACATTACCCATGCTGGTCTTGAACTTGTGTCCTCAAGCAATCCTCCCACCTCATCCTCCCAAAGCATGGGATTATAGGTGCGAGCCACTGCACCCAGCCAAATCCAAGTCTTAGTTTCCTCATTTGCCAAACTGTTAGGATACTACCTGCCTAGCCAACCTTACAGCACTACTTTGTTATTCACCCAGACACCTATCCTAGACTTCAGGAGGCAAGCAGAATTCTATAGTTGGGACTCTAAAAAGAAAGGGGACTGTTGATCTTGATTAATCTTCAATAAGCACCTTCAATAAGGGAAAAAAAAAGGGGTACATAACCCAGGAGCACAGATATAAAGAAGGCACACCAAATTGAGGAAGTGGTTAAAACCAAAATGGCACAATCCTTTAAGAATAAAGTCAAGAAAAGTAACTGATAGTTAAAGTACCTTGCTCATCGTTATATTCCCCAGCTAATACAATGTTTGACATATACCAAGTATAAAATAAACGTTTCTTGAATTTAACTGCATAGATTCAACAGTATTGCCTTCGTAAATTCCAGAGAAACAGTAGTAACTCCCTCACTCCAATTGTCTTTCTTATTTTTCCCAAGTTTATCAAAGCCTCAAATCAGCGAGGAAATCACACGAGAGCTTGGGGACTCTATATAAGTTAAGAGAGCTTACGTACAGGATTACTCCGTAACTATCAGTAACCTTGGAGCAGCTCTGGAAAAAGAGAGCCACACTAAAACACCAAAGTATGGCAAATGTCACAATTAAAAAACAAAAAAAAGAAAGTGAATTCCGGAAATGTAGATCTCAGTGAAAACACTAGAATGGATTTGCTTTGTTTTAAAAATATTTAACCTATAAGCAATTTTAAATATAATGACCCCTCAGAGACAGCATGAGTTCTCAAAATAATTCATGTGAAAATAATCCCATTACCCTTTTTGACTGAATTGCCATGAAAGAAAAACATAAATCCCGCATCATTTATTCATTTAACATCAAACAGCAAACATTTATTAAACAAACATGTGCCAGGCTCTGTGCTAGTAGCTTTACATATGACGGCTGTCTATGTAATAATCCACATAAAGTCCTATGAGTAAGGTACTCCCATTTTAAAGAAAAGGAGCTTGCTTACAGGCATTAGAATATCCTGTCAGGATCACGATGGCTATGAAGTGGGAGTAAGAATTCAAACCCCAGTGTAACTTCAAAGTCCTTTCTCTTTTCACCACATTATATGGCCTCCTAATAGATTTGAGTACTGCAGAAACACAGCCTATCTTGTCTTCTGCAAGAATTTGACAAAGCATCTCATGATAACCTTGTGGGCAAGACAGATGTAGCTTGGGCAAAAAGGAGAACTGTAATGCTGGAGTAAATGTTTACATTTTATTAAGGGATTTGTGTCCACTAGGTAGTAGCCCATAGCAGTCAGTCTTCCATTATCATTAATATGTATAGCACTCCATTAACAACTGTTTCTTACTCAAGGGAAGGAGGAGGGGATGGCCTGTGGCCCATGCATGGCCCAAAAAAGCCCCTAAGATTCTATATGTCTACAGAAAATTGCACTTCTGGTCATGTATCACTGGACTACAGTAAAACTTGCTGCAGAGCTTTGCACTTGGCCCTCTCTCTCTGCTTTCTTTCATAGTCTTTAATAATGACCTGTTGAGAACATTAAAGGCATTCTTACCTAACTTTCAGATGACAAAGTTAAAAAGTAGCTAATCCAGACAGTAGATTCCACACCTTATTCTTTGCCATGTCCAGGACCCAACCCAGTACCTGGCCCAAAGGAGCCCAGTCAGTGTTTTGTGAATTACAGAATCCAAATTAAAAAGGACATTAACAGGCTTAACTATTGGAGCAAATCTACCAAAGCCAACCTTAATGGGTCAAGTATATTAGAAACAAAAGAAAAAGCTTAACTACAATACCAAAGAAAAGAGAATCTGAGAGATACAAATAATGCCTTTTTTTGAAGCAATTAAGACTAAGATGTTTCAGTTGACAGCAAATTCAATATTTATCAAAGAGAAATTCTGAGAGCTTCCCTAAAAGCTCAGAGAATCTCTTCTACTTCAGTGTTGGAAAAGGATTCTCAACAGGAGAGGTGACAGCCTGCACTTCTCTGTTCAGTTCAAACCACCACACCTGGAATTATTTCTACAGCTCAAGGAATCACACTTTAAGGAAAGGACAATGATTACATAGTGCCTAGAAGAGATTCAAAATAGTGAAAGGGCCAGGCACAGTGGCTCATACCTGTAATTTCAGCATTTCAAGAGGCCAAAGCAGAAGGATTGCTTGAGCTCAGAGTTCTACAACAGCCTGGGCAACATAGCAAAACCTCAACTCTACCAAAAAAAAAAAATTAGCCGAGCATGGTGGCGCACGCCTGTGGTCCCAGCTACTTGGAGGCTGAGGTGGAAGGATTACTTGAACCCAGGAGTTGGAGGCTGCAGGCAGCTATGATATCACCACTAGAGCAAGACTCTGCCTCCAAAAAAAAAAAAAGTGAAAGGATTTAAAACGATGTCACTGTCACTGGAGATCCAGTTAAGGGAGCCAGAGTTGTTTACCCAAGAGAAGACAAGATAGCTATCTTCAACTATCAGAAGGAATGTCATATGAGACACCAAGACTCAGTGGGGAGAATTAGGACTGAAAACTACTAAAAATAAAATAGGACCGGAAGTGGTGGCTCACACCTGTAATCCCAGCACTTTGGGAGGCCGAGGCAGGTGGATCACCTGAGGTCAGGAGTTCGAGACCAGCCTGGCCAACACGGCAAAATCCCATCGCTACTAAACATACAAAAATTAGCCAGGCATGGTGGCACATGCCTGTAGTCCCAGCTACTCGGGAGGCTGAGGCAGGAGAACCACTTGAATCCAGGAGGCAGAGGTTGCAATGAGCCGAGATCGCACCCCTCCACTCCAGCCTGGGTGATAGAGTGAGACTCCATCTCAAAAAGAAAAAAAAAAAAATTTAAAAATGAAATGGGACACCTTAGGACAAAGTGAGCTTTCCACTTTCCATAATACCAGTTCATTTCACCTCCAAGATGTTAAAAAAAAAAAGGGGGACAATCACTTGACTAAACATTAGAAGACCAAAATAGTGATCCATACATAACTGTCTTAAATTCCTGTCAATCCTGCAATTCTTTGAAATGTATGAGAATGTACTTTATAAAATACAAAGTAGTTTACATAGACAGGTACTCTGTTGACGAGAAAAAAGGTGAACTCTTCCTCTCATATCTTCTGACATGATTTCCTCTCCATTTGGAAATTAAAAGAATACAAAGTTGTGTCTTACAAGTCACATAAATCAAATTCCTCTGAAAAATTGTTAAGAAAGATGAGGTTAACTGGTATCTCTGAAAGAGATTAGACACATTGCTGTTTACATACATTGGTGTACAACAAAATCCTAAATTCTATAATATAATTCAGATATTAATACTGGATATCTACTATAACTTCATCCTCCCCTCTGTGGAGTACAGTGGCTTTTCATATATTTAAAAACCTTTACTCTGCTTTCAGTTTCAAGAATGTTTTAGAAATTTAAAATGGAAGTGTAATTTTTAAGTTGAAAGGGTATGGCCAGGTGCAGTGGCTCACCCCTGTAATCCCAGCACTTTGGGAGGCCAAGGTGGGCAAATCACCTGAGGTCAGGAGTTCGAGACCTGTCTGGACAACATGGTGAAACCCCGTTTCTACTAAAAATACAAAAAAATTAGCCAGATGTGGTGGCGTGTGCCTGTAATCCCAGCTACTTGAGAGGTTGACGCAGGAGAATCACTTGACCCAGGAGGTGGAGGTTGCAGTGAGTGGAAATTGCTGCACTTCAGCCTGGGCGACAGGGCAAGACTCAAGTTATCTTTTGAAAAAAAACGTGGAGACCTCAATTACAATAGTTTTCTTTTATCTTAGATCTTTGCATAAAGGAAAACACTAGATGGGTTATTTATCAATATACCGAGGTAATGTGATTTAATTGCTCAAAATCTGAAGTCAGACAGGGGTTCAAATTTGAGCTTGGACACTCCTGCCCCATTGACTTGTGGTAATATTACTGCCAGCAAAATTACTCAACTAAACGTTTTTCCTCAGCTGTAGGGCTATCCACTAAACTATCCACTTCATAGGGTGTTATAAGAATTAAAGCAAGCAGACAGAAAGCAAGCAAAATAATCAGCACAGTAAGAACTCACTAAATGTTAGCTATTGTTACTACTTTACCTAAGTAAATCTCTAAACTTCCAAATGATCCTAGGTATTTGTCCAGTGAATTTTCTTGATCTAAAACACCAGGCTCTCACTAATGACACTGAACAATAACAATTCATTATTAAAATTTTGTCAGTGTTCTGGTACAAGGATTTTTTAAAAATGCAGTTTCCTGGCACTCACTTTTTCAGATATGCTTTACATACGAGTAAAATCAGAGGAGTAAAAATAGAACATGGAATCAGAGCCAGAGCGTCTTGTAAATTCTAGACTCAGTAGTTTAATAATAGCATCAAACATCCAATGTCACAACAATTAGGAGATTACGCATTCTATTAAGTAGTGTCGATGTTCTCACATACTACACATTTACTAATTAAGACCTATTGTGCAAGTTGGGGCGGTAATTAAAGGCAGACAACTTACACTGGACCAGGTCATCAGTGCTTTTTCTGTATATTTATCCTGACAACCCTATGAGCTAGATACTACTATTATGGCCATTTTAACAGAAGAAACAGGCACAGACAGGTTAAGTAACTTACCCAGTATGACACAGCTAGTTAAATGGATGGAGGTGAGACATGAACCTGGACAATCAGGCTCAAAAGTCCACTAGACTTTACTGCCTTTGACCAAATTGGTAAGTCAAATTAGTAGGATAAATTTCTCCTAATAACATCAAAACTGATTTCTCTGGGAGAGGTGGGGTGAGTACAACTCCCTCAAAGGCCTGGCTTCACTCTCAATCAATGATAACATTTTAACACCTTTCCAATGTACCTGTGGAAGAAAGCCGACCTTTTATTTTACAGGTAAAGAAACTGAGTAACAGCAGCGGCTTTTAGTCTGGGGACCAATTGTTGGCCAGTATTCACTTGATGTTTCAGCGTGGGTCAATCGACCTCGCAGAATATGAGTGACCCGCAAGTCAGACCCACGCAGGCTGCAATGAAACTGCGTAACACGCCTAGGCAAGCGGTCATTTCAAAAAACCTCCAGAGATGGCTCTTTTGCCATTCCTGTTACTCAGGACAAAATGGAACTTGCATAAACACTTAGTCATCAGTAAGCGCTGAAGTTACAAATCACCTAATTCGCAAAATCAAATACGCAGCTAAGTTCCTAATTCTGAAAGAAAGAAAAGGAGCTAACATTTGGAGACTGCAACACTGACACCTGGGACCCAGGAACTGCAGTAAATGGGAAAAAACAGCCCACGGACGGAGACCACAACGTGCGCAGCCACCACGGGGAACACTGGGGACTTTTCAGGGCCCTTCCACTTCCCTCCCAACAGCCTGTCCTCGCGTCTACAGGCTGCCCCGACCTGGTGATTCCCCAGGGCGAATTCGGAAAGGTAAACCGAAGGCGGAGATGACAGGCCTGAGATTTGCCAGCCTACATCCAGGGGACCAGGGCGGCAAAGTTTCCCCAGCCCCGGAGGGGTAGGGGCCCTGAGGCGCCCCCTCCCGCTCCCCGAGGTCCGCACCTGCAGAGTGGTGATGTGCTTGTCGTTAAACTTGTTCTCGCAGTAGCGCAGCACCAGCGACGTCTTCCCCACGCAGCCTTCCCCCAGCAGCACCACCTTGAACGAGTAGGCTCGGCCCGCCGCCGCCGCCCCGCCGCCGCCGCCGCCGGCCGCAGCCATCCCGTCGCTTCCCGGCCGCCCGAGCCCGAGTGTCGCGCCGCCCTCCCGACAGCCGCGGCAGCGCCTTCACAGCCACGGCCGGCTCAGCCCCCACCGCCCCGGCCCCGCCGACCCGGGCGCTGTCCCCACGCCCTCCTCGGGCGAGGCCTGGAAGGGCTGAGGGAAAGTCCGAGAATGAAGGGCCCCAGCCCACCACGTCAGGCACCGGAGGAAAAGCGAAGAACGATCCCTCTCTGCCTCCCTCTAATGGCGTCTCCTTCCTCCTACGTCACACCTCGGGTCACGTGAGCGCCGGTGCCGGGGCGGCCCCTGCGACTAGCCCCAGAAGAACGTGCCTGGACGTGGGCGGGGCTTCTGGGGCATCTCCCGGGGTGGAGCTGGATGTGAGTCGAGCGCCTACTGGCAATCTAGGGCAGAGCCCCGCCGCTTGCGAGCCACCTCTGCTTTTCAGTTGGTGGGAGCCAGCGGGAATAAGGAACCAGGAATTTGAGGCGAGCCCAGCTCTGGTGAAATGAAGGGCAGAACTTCATCGTTTTTGCATGTTCACAATGCTAATGATCTGTCACACCAGAGGTCACTGTAAACCATATCTGCCAAGGTGCCCTTGAATCTCTCTCTGTGGGATCCCGAATCATAGCGCTTCCAAGTTCCTCTGACCGCCTGGTCAACTACTCCATCATCTTTCAAGTCTCAGCTTAAACCGCGTCCCTGACCACCCAATCCTTCCCCCATCCTTCCATTCCCCCACCTCACAAAATTAGGTATTTCTTACCACCAGTATACCTCCTTTACTAGGGCTTTACACACTCCATGGATATTATTAATACTTTGCTAAGTGTTTATCGACTCTCATTAGACTATAGGTTTGTTGAGGGCAAGGTCTGTATAAGAGCTGCCCACCTTTGAATTCCTAACCCCAAGTGCTCTTCAGTTTTTCTGACTTTCATGAAGCCTCTGACGTTCCATGGTACTCCACCTTGAGGTGGCTTGTTCGATGATTGCTTGTTTTTTCTCATCTGCATCCCCATTCTTTTTTGTTTGTTTGTATTGTTAGTTTTGAGATGGAGTATCGCTCTGTCGCCCAGACTGGAGTGCAGTGGCGTGATCTCAGCTCACTGCAGTCTCTGCCTCCTGGTTCAAGTGATTCTCCTGCCTCAGCCTCCCGAGAAGCTGGGACCATAGGCGCCCACCACCGCGCCCCGCTACTTTTTGTATTTTTAGTGGAGACAGGGTTTCACCATGTTGGCCAGGCTGGTCTTGAACTCTGACCTCAAGTGATCCACCTGCCTCGGCCTCCCAAAGTGCTGGGATTATAGGTGTGAGCCACCACGCCCGGCCTGCCTCCAAGAAACCATACTCCTCCAAGAAATCATACTAATATTTCTGAAAATTTACTGGAAACCTGGTGTCAGGTAAACATTTTTTTAAAAATCAAACTTCTTTCACACTTCAAACCAGGTTAAAAAAAAAAAAAGAGGCCGGGCGTGGTGGCTCATGCCTGTAATCCCAGCACTTTGGGAGGCCGAGGCGGGCGGATCACAAGGTCAGGAGATCGAGACCATCCTGGCCAACATGGTGAAACCCCATCTCTACTAAAATACAAAAAATTAGCTGGGCATGGTGGCACAAGCCTATAATCCCAGCTACTCGGGAGACTGAGGCAGGGGAAGCGCTTGAACCCGGGAGGCAGAGGTGGCAGTGAGCCGAGATCGCGCCACTGCACTCTAGCCTGGCGACAGAGGAAGACTCCGTCTCAAAAAAAAAAAAAAAAAAAAAGAGAGTCGGTTAATTCATTCAACAAATATTTAAATGTGCCCACCATATGCCAGGCACTGTGATCAACAAGATAAAATGTCTCTGTCCTCACAGAGCTTACATTTTATCAGGGAAGACAGACATACTCAATTGTACAATAAATGCTTTCATCTTGATGAAACAGTTCAGAGTATCTTGCAAGCATATATGAGAACCCAACTGATTTAGCATGCTAGAGAAGCTTTCCCTGGAGAAAGTTATCTTTGGGTAAGAGTAACCTAGTCAGGAAGGACAGGAGAGCTCTGCAAACAGAGATAACAGCATGTTCAATGGCTTTAGATAGGAAGGAGCATCTAAAGTTGAGCAACTGTAAATGTGACTAGAATTTAGGGAGGAAAAAAAAACTCCAGAAGAGACCATGAGGAAGTTGGGGATCAATACTGAAAGGGTCTTTAAGCAAATGAAGGATTTTCGTAAGATGACTGACATAATCAGATTTGACCACTCTGGCTATCATTTGAAAAGTGAATTGGAGAAGGATAATATTTTAGATTTGTTTAGAACCAACCATTAAAGAGACTCTATGTTTTATAAAATATCCTCATGATTGTATCTAAAGATATATTTTCCAACTCTCTCCTCCACATTCCTCCCCTTAGGGTCTTTGCACATTTATAGACACTTCCAGAACTAGAAAAGAACTTCATTTTGAGAGAGCACCTTCCATTGTTCTTTCTGAGCACTTCCTCATATTGGATTGAAATCTGCCTCTCTTCACCTGCAATTAATTATTTCTGTTTATATTTATACATTATATATCGAATCCCTATTCCCTATAAACATATGAAGAAGGCTGTGTGTTCTTCCTTTAAGCCTTCTCCTTTCTTCTTTTTGATACAGCCAATCCTTTCAACAACTTTTCAAATTGTGTGCATTTGATTATTTAACAGCTTGGTCATCTTAGAAACTAAATGCATTACTTTGCATTTATCACTAAATCAAAGCAATTAAAAATTTTTTTATTGTAAAACAAAATAATTTTTTTGTGAGACAGGATCTCACTCTGCTGCCCAGGCTGGAGTACAGTGCCACAATCACAGCTCACTGCAACCTCAACCTCCTGGGCTCCAGCAATCCTCCCACCTCAGCCTCCCGAGTAGCTGGGACTGCAGGTGTGTGCCACCACACCTGGTTAATTTTTTAATTTTTTTTGTAGAGACGATATCTTGCGTGTCTTGCTGTGTTGCCCAGGCTGGTCTTGAACTCCTGGGCTCAAGCAATCCTCCAGCCTCAGCTTCCCAAAGTGCTGGGATTACAGGTATAAGCCACCACACTCAGCCAAAATAATTTTCGAAGTTAAAATAAGTTTTTACATTTAGCTTACGTTGACATTTAAGAAGGTAGTGCAAGTTTTCATGGGTTACAATAAGTAGGTTGGCATACTTTTGAGCACAGAGTGGGTAAATATAGATGTAAATTGTAATAGGCTGATAACGGCCCCTAAAGATATCAGCTCCTAGATTCCGGAGCCTGTAGATGTTACCTTATTTGGGAAACAGGTCTTTTTGATTTAAGTTAAGGATCTTGAGATGGGGAGATTATCTGGGTGGGCCCTAACTGCAATCACAAGTATCCTTATAAGAGAGAGGCAGAAAGAGATGCTTCACACCCAGAAGAGGAGAAGGCAGTGTGACCATAGAGGCAGATTATGGAGCAATGTAGCCATAAGCCAAGGAATGCTTACAGCCACCAGAGCTGGAAAAGACAAGAAGCCCCTAGAGCCTCTGGAGGGGGTTCAGCCCTGCAGATATGCTGATTTTAGCCTAGTGAAACTAATTTTGATTCCTGACCTCCAGAACTAAAAGAGAATAAATGTGTGTTGTATTAAGCTACCAAGTTTGTGATCATTTGTTACAGCAGCCATAAGAAACGTACTTAAGTATGTTGTGAGAAAACAAGTAGCCCATAACAGTCAAAGCATTGAAAGAGATTCAGGCCAATTCTGGGATAGATTCTACGCCCTTAAGAATTTAGGTCAGTCTTAGAGTCAACTATGATTGGTCTGTATAAACTTAACACGGACTGCCACAAAAAAAAAAAAACACTAGAGCTCCAGTTCCTCCGTAGAGAAGAGCTGCAAAAATATGGGGACACTTCAGTGAGTGCATAACTCAAAACATATTCCTGAATGGTGAGGACTGAGGCATGATAGGGTGCAAATTCATGTAGCTCCTCTTCCCCCAGTAAAAAACAGGAATAATTATACAGGTGAAATCAAGTTAACAATGAACATGCAGCACAATATCAAATGGGGAAAAATTGTTGCACAGAGGTAAAATGCAGCTTTAATTCTGTAGGCGGGAAAGAACAACCTCACCCATTTTGTGGTGGTTATAAAGTTGAGTTTATGGACTACTTATAATGTATATGAGACCTAGTTTTTGGAATGACTCTTCCTTTCTCCCCCTGTTCTTGCACTACGTTTGTGAATTAAGACCAATGTCCTGGGCCGGGCATGGTAGCTCATACTTGTAATCTTAGCACTTTGGGAGGCTGAGGCAGGAGGATCGCTTGAAGCCAGGAGTTCAAGACCATCCTGGGCAACATAGCAAGATCCTGTCTCTACAATATTTTTTGTTTTGAGACAGAGTCTCACTCTGTTGCCCAGGCTGGAGTGCAGTGGCACAATCTTGGCTCACTGCAGCCTCGACCTCCTGTGCTCAAGTGATCCTCCCCCCTCATCCTCCTGAGTAGCTAGTACTACAGGTACACACCAACATGCCTGGCTAATTTGTTTGTATTTGTAGAGATGGGGTTTCACTGTGTTGCCCAGACTGGTCTTGAACTCCTGGGCTCAAGTGATCCGCCTGCCTCAGCCTCCCAAAGTGCTGGAATTACAGGAGTGAGCCGCTGTGCCTGGCCCTGCAATACATTTTAGAAAATAAGTAGGCATAGTGGCATGCACCTATAGTTCCAGCTATGTGGGAGGATCACTTGAGCCTAGAAGTTCAAAACTACAGTGAGCTATGTTCATGCCACTGTACTCCAGCCTGGATGATAAAACAAGACCCCATCTGCAAGGAAAAACAAAAAAAAGACCAATATCATGAATCCCAGTATGATCATATAACCATGTAGAGACCTCAATTGTTGAATTTTGATGAAATAGCTAGAGTCAAGGAGTCAGATAATTCTTATTTTTCATTTGGAATGGAGGATTGTCAATGGCCTTTGTATATCTCTGGTTCATTCATCCTTCACTCATTCATTTACCATTGAAAAAATATATGGTGAGAGATGAATGTAAAGAGGTAAATAAGATTCTATACAACCTTGAAAGTCATGCTTGGGCTTTACTATAGGAACAATGAGAAGTCTTTTAGGACAGTGTGACATAAAATGCAGTCTTCAGGGCAACAGCAGCAGTTAGAAGCTTGTTAGAAATACAATTCTGCCATCCCCCACCCCCATTAAATCAGAATTTCTGCAACTGAATCCAAGAAGAAACTTTTCTTTCACAATCCCTCCTTGTGATTCTTATTCATGGTAAAGTTTGTAAAGCACTGACTTGGAAGGTAGAGTTAACAAGACTTGGGGAACAATGGTTACGAAAAGTGAGAAAGTTAGAGACAGGGAGGAATAAAAAATGAATCCTGCAGTTTTGGTTTAGTCAACTGGTAAATGGTGATGACTTTCACTGGAATAAAAAACACAGGAGGAAGAAAACATTTTTTGATTGTACTTTCTTGGTTTTGTACATTTTGATTTTGAAGTGCCTGAGGTATTCTCAAGTATAAATATCTAGTAGGCAATTGGTTTTATGAACCAGCAGCTTAGGAGAGAGATCTGGGCTTGAGAAAAGGACAAAGACATCATCAATGCACAGAGAGAAATAGCTTCCACAGGGGTAGAGGAGATCACCCAGGGAGAGTGTATAAAGTGAGAGGGTCAGAGGGCCTAGGACAGAGCACCTGAGAACAATGACTTTTAAGAGATGGGTAGAGGAACAGGAGCTGCAAAGAGATACACAAAGAAATTAGAGGAAAACTGGGGAAGTTAATGTCAAGGAGAGAAGAGAACATTCTAAGAAAAAGGGAATCATGAAATGTTTTGGAGAGGTGAAGTTAAGTATGGACTGGTCTTTATGTGTCTTAAGTATCTACTGGTTTAGCTACAAGAGAGCAATTTGAAATTTTGATTTGAACGGTTTCAACTGAGTGGTAGGAGTTGAAATAAACTTGCTCAGGAACTTAACTAAAGATGGTTGATTTAGTCTACTAGTTCTTAACCAGGGGTAATTATGCTCCTCAGGGAACATTTGGTAATATCTGGTGATATTTTGTCTACTGGCATTTAGTGGGAAGAGGCTAGAGATGCATTTAAACATTTGACAATGCACAAGACAGTGCCCCACAACAAGTGCCCCAGCCCAAAATGTCAATGTTGCCAAGGTCAAGAAACCCTACTTTAGCCTAATGAAGTGTGTATATTTTTACAGCCCGTCATAATTATAAATCCACTGGTTATATTAAGTTATGGAGGCAAACAGAGAGTAGGGCTGAACAAGTAGTAAAAGAATAAGAAACTCAAAAGCTCGAAGAAACTATTTCCAACTTTGCCAGTATTATCTATGCATGTCTTTCACATAGTCATTTAAGTATTTTCTCAGCTTCATTTCTCCACGTAGAATTATCTTGTATCCCCAAGGCACTTTTAATCCTCCATTGAACATTGGTTCCTTTTAGCAACTGTTACAGAAAATACATTCTTATTCTAATTAGATTTTTCCTCAGAGACAAAAGGAGAATTCAAAAACACTTTTATAACTACTTGGAGAAATTCTAGTACTTACAGATGCACTGTTTCTATATCACTTTTCTACAAGTACAAGAAATTTCAAGGAATTTGGGTTAATATACTATAATATGCATCCTTTCAAAAAAGAATAAGTTGAGTATTAGGAGCTAAAGTGTAGAAAAACAGGAGTACAACAGGAGAGATAAACGAACCTGAAGAAAAACAAAACAAAACACGATTCCTGCAGCTGCCACAGTGGAGGGAGCTGAAATTGGGGGTTTGCCAGCAAAGCAGGGATTTTGTCTGCTATGCGCTAGAACTGTGTCTGTCACATTTTTGTATCTCCAGTTTCTGGAATGTAGTGCTCAATTAATATGTGTTAACTGAAACAAAGGAATGAATGGAGCTAAGCCTATAAAATACTGTGTATTAAAAATGAGGTTTGAGAAATACTCCTGGGCATATGGAGCATTGTTAAATAAAATTTACTCAAAGCAGCCGGGTGTGGTGGCTCATGTCTGTAATCCCAGCACTGTGGGAGGCCCAGGCAAGTGGATGACACGAGGTCAGAAGTTTGAGACCAGCCTGGCCAACATGGTGAAGCCCCATCTCTACTAAAAATACAAAAAATAAGCCAGGCGTGGTGGTGGGTGCCTGTAATCCCAGCTACTCGGAAGGCTGAGGCAGGAGAATCGTTTGAACCGGGAGGTAGAGGTTGCAGTGAGCCGAGTTCGCACTACTGCACTCCAGCTTGGGCAACAGAGCAAGACTCCATCTCAAAAAAAAAAAAAAAAAAAAATTTACTCAAAGCATTTTCCATCTTAAGCCTCTAATAAGGGTAATAGAATAGCAGCTATCAACTAATGTGTAATTTCTATGAATGAATCCCATTTATTCCTTTATTGCTCAATCATTCAGCAACCTTTGTTGTTGAGTGCCTGGCAAGATGTCTCTGCCATCATGGAGCTCATATTCTAGTGTGGGAGGCAACACAGAAACAATTACAATATGTGTAGTGATCATGTTTGATATCTACCCAGCATGCACACCCCTTTCTCCTTTCAATCAAAATCCAGTCCCTGCTTAGCTATCTACCCTCCCCGGTGTAGCCCAGGTCCCCACAGCTTTGGGTCAGTTCTAATCTCATTCCCCTAGGTTCTTTGCAGCTTTTTTTTTTTTTTCTTAATAGAGATGGAGGTCTCACTATGTTGTCCAGGCCGGTCTAGAACTCCTGGGCTCAAGTGATCCTCCTGCTTCGGCCTCCTGAGTAGCTGGGATTACAGGTGAATGCCACCATGCCTGGCCTCTGCAGCTTCCAAAGCCACTATTTGTACATCTGAAGCAATCTTTCAAATGCTTCTCACTGGCAATAAACTGAGCTGTAATTGTAGTCACTGGCCACAGAGAGGCACTAGCAGCCCAATAAAATTTACCAGGTTGGCCAGCATACATTTAAAGCTGCCAGCGTAATTCAAAATTTAGGTGTCCTTCAACATTAAAAAGAAGGAAACCATGGGGAGATTTTTTTCTGAGTTGTAGAAAACAAGAATATTCCAAAATCCTATGACTCTTGGGTGGAAAAGGGGAGAAGATACAGTTCACAAGCCATTTTTCCCTAAGTTGTTAACTAAAAGTGTCCCAAGAAACTTTACATATGTTTGTCAAAGAAGGAATTTAAGTCCAATGTTCAGCTTCTCAGATCTTTCCACCAGTTTCTACTAAAAATATACACTCTCAAGAGTTAAAAAGGGAAGGCAAGTAAAGAAACCGAAAACGTTGTTTAGTCATAAATATGTAAAGTCGTTCCTCAGTATTCATGGGGGATTTGTTCCAGGGTTCCTCATGGATACCAAAATCCATGAATGCTCAAGTCTGTTATATAAAATGGTGTAGTATTTGCATATACCCTATGCACATCCGAGTTTCACTCTGGTTGCCCAGGCTGGAGTGCAGTGGCGTGATCTTGCCTCACTGTAACCTCCACCTCCTGGATTCAAGTGATTCTTCTGCCTCAGCCTCCCGAGTAGCTGGGATTACAGGTGCTCACCACCACGCCTGGCTAATTTTTGTGTTTTTAGTAGAGATGGGGTTTCACCACATTGGCCAGGCTGGTCTCAAACTCCTGACTTCAGGTGATCCACCCACCTCAGCCTCCCAACTTTCTGTATACTTTAAATCATCTGTAGATTACTTATAATACCTAATACATTGTAAATGCTATGTAAATAGTTGTTATACTACATCGTTTAGGGAATAATGACAAGGAAAAAAGTCTGTACATGTGGAGTACAGACATTTTCTTTCTTGAATATTTTCTATCCTCAGTTGGTTGAATCCACAGGTGCAGAACCCACAAATGGTGGGCCAATTGTATTTTATTTTGCCTTTAGAAATTGTATTTTGAAATAACCATGGCATGAAGCTTACCTAATTATATCAGATGGAAGTGTATGTTTGAGATGATTGGTAATAGGATGTATAACAGCAATTTTTTTTTTTTGAGATGGATTTTCACTCTTGTTTCCTGGGCTGGAGTGCAATGGTACAATCTTAGCTCACCGCAAACTCCGCCTCCCAAGTTCAAGCGATTCTCCTGCCTCAGCCTCCCAAGTAGCTGGGATTACAGGCATGTACCACCAAGCCCGGCTAACTTTGTATTTTTAGTAGAGACGGGGTTTCTCCATGTTAGTCAGGCTGGTCTCGAACCCCCAACCTCAGGTGATCCGCCCACCTCGGCCTCCCAAAGTGAACAGCAATTTTTTAATTACTAAAAAGTTTCAGTTCAGAATGGTAACAGTCTCAATGAGTCAGTCTGCAGTATGTTGATTTTTAAAAACTAGATGCCACTAGTCATATGAAACTGGAAATTCTAGAGATATTTGTCTATTTGAGATGGGCCTGAATGACTATTCTTTCGCATCTTCTTGAGAAATCAGTCAGTGTAGAGAATTTTAAAAGCCTCTTTAATAAAGAAATTGCTTTGCCCTGGTGAAATAATTTGGCTGAGGATTCTTACAGATTTGTGATGTTGAGATTGGAGAGCTTTGGGATAGCTGTAGTCGAATGGGAAGTTTGTAAGTATTAATACTAGTGTATACTGAGAATTATACCATTCAGTACCACTTATTTGAGTGTTTTTTCCTATTGGTTACTCATTCCTACTTGGAAAAGATTTTAATTAAAATCCAGCTGTTGTTAGGCCAGGCGCAGTAGCTTGCACTGTAATCCCAGCACTTTGGGAGGCCAAGGCAAGAGGATCACTTGAGGCCAGGAGTTTAAGACCAGCCTGGGCAACATAGTGAGACCCCCCCATCATCTCTACCAAAAATTTTTAAAAAAATAAAATCAGCTAGGCATGGTGGTGCGCATCTGTAGTCCCAACTACCTTCAAGGCTTAGATGGAAGGATCACTTGAGCTTAGGAGTTTGAGGCCACAGTGAGCTATGATCATGACATTGCATTCCAGCCTGGGTGACAGAGCAAGACCTTATCTCTAAAACAAAACAAAATCTTACCATTCTCCTATACCCCTTTTTAAGTACTTCCTAGCATGTATTATTGAGTATTATAATTACTTATTTATCAGTACTAAAGATGTAAGTTCCTGAACTAGTCGAGATCTGCCTGTTTTGCTTACCATTATATCCCATGTATAGAATAATGACTGAAACACAGTAGGTGCAAAATAAATGGCTAAAGGTATTATTCTTATGACTTCATTTTCACTATTTTTTTTTTTTTGGCTTTTGTGCAAACTTCCATTTCCTTGAACTTCCAAGCGCAGCCTCCCTCCCCAGTCCATCCACCAGTCCTCTCTTGGTCTCTCTCCCTCTCCCTGACTTCTAGCTGCCTCATACTCCCACGCTGCTCACAACCAGGTTCAGACTCCGCATTGAGTATCTAAACTCTTACCAGCACATTTCATTTTCATATATCCTTATATTTACACTGCATCATCACAAAACACCAACCTTAAAGTGAACTTCTGGAACAATTTTCTAAGCCACCTGAATTTTGTGCATCAATACAAATTCATAGTTACTAACTTCATTCTCAGGGCTATCAGTCCCTATATTCCTCTGGCTTCAGCTTCCTCTCTTATTCTCCTTTACCACTATTATGAACTTTCCTCAGTCTACTTCTGGTCCTAATTAGAGTTGTTCATAGCATACCCTTATTATCCTTTAGTGTCTGTGGGTCTGTAGAGATCTTCCCTCTTTTATTCTTCATATTGGTTATTAAGTATTCTCAGTTTCTTGGTCAGTCAAGTTAGAGATTTATCAATTTTAATTATTTTTCTAAGAGTCCACTTTGGTTTTATTGATTTTTCTCCACTATTTTTCAATTCTCAATTTCATGGATTTCTGCTGTTTATTATTTCTTACTTCCTGCTTGCTTTGGGTTTAATTTGCTCTTCTTTCTCCAGTTTCTTAACATGGAAAATTAGATGACTGACTTGAGATCTT
Source organism: Homo sapiens (assembly GCF_000001405.40). Lineage (NCBI taxonomy): Eukaryota > Metazoa > Chordata > Mammalia > Primates > Hominidae > Homo > Homo sapiens. The sequence goes on along the minus strand of NC_000012.12, from coordinate 71,744,111 downwards.
TATTCTTTCCTATTATAAGTACTTAATGCTATATATTTCTAAGCACTGTTTTAGGTGCATCCATAAATTTCAACATGGTATATTTTCATTTTCATTCAGTTAAAAATATATATATTTAGTCAGGTGTGGTGGCTCACGCCTGTAATCCCAGCACTTTGGGAGGCTGAGGTGGGCAGATCACCTGAGTTCTGGAGTTCAAGACCAGCTTAGCCAACATGGTCAAACCCTGTCTCCACTAAAAATACAAAAATTAGCCAGGCATAGTGGCACAGGCCTGTAGCCCCAGATACTCGGGAGGCTGAGGCAGGAGAATTGCTTAAACCCAGGAAACAGAGGTTGCAGTGAGCTGAGAGTGTGCCACTGAACTCCAGCCTGGGTGACAAAATATATATAATTTAATATATACATACATATATTATATATATAATTTAATATATACATACATATATTATATATATAATTTAATATATACATACATATATATTATATATAATTTAATATATACATACATATATATTATATATAATTTAATATATACATACATATATTATATATAATTTAATATATACATACATATATTAAATTATATGTAAATTATAATATACATACATATATTAAATTATATAGAAATATAAATATATATTTATATGTTATAAATATAATTCAACATTTAAAAGATGTATTTATTAATATATCTGTTAATGAATATATTTATTAATAAAATATTTATTAATAGGTATAGTGATATATTTATTACTAGATATCTATCGATATATTTATTAATAGATGTATTTATTGATATAATATTTATTAATAGATATTTATTGATAAAATATTAATAGATGTATTGGCTAATATATTTATTAATAAATATATAATTTATATTAAATATACTATATATAATTTAATTTCCCTTGAGACTTTCACTCTGATGGTTGGGTTATTGTAGAAAGCAGAATAATGCCCTCCCCCTGCCCTGGCCACAAGATATCTACATCCCAATTCCTGGAACCTGTGAATATGTTAAGTTATGTGGCAAAGAGGGGAATTAAGGTTGCAGATAGAATTAAAGTTGCTCATCATCTGACCCTAAAATAGTAAGAGTACCTTGGATTACCCAGGTGTTTCCAGTAATTACACGATTCTTTAAAGTGGAAGTGAGAGTTAGAGATGTGATTACAAAAGCAAAATCAGAGTTATGGGATCCACCATTGTGAGCTTTGAAGATGTAGGAAAAGAACCTATGAACTAAGGAATGTGGGTGGCCTCTGGGAGCTGAAAAAGGCAAAGAAAATGACTCTCCCCTATATCCTCCAGACAGGAATGCAGCCCTTCCTATACTTTAACTTAATTTAATTTAATTTATTTATTTTGATACAGTATCTCACTCTGTCGCCCAGGCTGGAGTGCAGTGGCGTGATCTCGGCTCACTGCAATCTCCATCTCTGGGGTTCAAGCAATTCTCATGCCTCAGCTTCCCGAGTAGCTGGGATTACAGGTGTGTGCCAACATGCCCCACTAATTTTTGTATTTTTAGTAGAGACAGGGTTTTTCCATGTTGGCCAGGCTGGTCTCAAACTCCTAATCTTAAGTGATTTGCCCACCTTGGCCTCCCAAAGTGCTAGGATTACAGGGGTGAGCCACCGTGCCCAGCCCCTGTACCTTCATTTTAACCTAGTGACACCCATGTTAGACTTCTTACCTACAGAACTGTAAGATAATAAATTTGTGTTTTTTTAAGCCACTAAAATCATGATAATTCCATTACAGCAGCAATAGAAAGTGATACAGCGATGTTAAAATGTGTCATTTAATTTCCAAATATTTGGAGATTTGCCATAACATCTCTTTCTGTCATTGATTTATAATTTGATTGTTATGGCTTGAGAACATACTTCATATGATTTTTATTCTTTGATTTGCAGTCTGACCTCTGTATCCACTGGTTCCATATTTGAGGATTCAACCAACCACAGACAAAAAATATTTTAAGAAATAAAAAGGGCAGGTATGGTGGCTCATGCCTGTTATCCCAGGACTTTAGCAGGCCAAGGCAGGAGGATTACTTGAGCCCAGGAGTTCAAGACCAGCCTGGGCAATGTAGTGACACCTCATCTCTAAAAAAAGAAAAAAAAAAAAACCAACAACAACCAGAAAAACAACTAGCCAAGGATGGTGGCATGCACCTGTAATCCCAGCTACTCAGGAGGCTGGGGTGGGAGGATTGCTTGAGCCTGGGAGGTTGAGGCTGCAATGAGCCGAGATTGTGTCCCTGTACTCTAGCCTGGGCAACAGAGCCATACATCGTCTCAAAAAAATTAAAATTACAAATTACAATACAACAATAAAAAGTAATACAAATAAAAACCAATACAGTATAACAACTATTTACATAGCATTCACATTGTAGTAGGTATTATGAACTCTCATTTGAAGTATATAGGAGGATGGGCATAGGTTAGACACAAACACTACTCAGATTTTTGTTTCCTCTCAGGTTCCTGGAACCAATCTCCTTTGGATGCTGACAGATGACTGTAGTTTAAGTGTCTCATTGCCAAGATTTTGATCTATCTTCGTGAACGTTTTAAGTGTATTTGAAAGGAATGTGCACTATGCTGTTGTTGAATGAAGTTTTTTATAAATGTCAGCTAGGTCAAGTTGATTGATAAAGTTGTTGAGATCTTTTCTATTTTTATTGATTTTCTGTCTCCTCAAATCTCCAACTTCAATTGTGGATTTGTCCATTTCTCCTTCCAGTTCTGTTAGGTTTGTTTTTGTTTGTTTTGTTTATCTGTTTGTTTGTTTCTTTGAAGACAGGATCTGGCTCTGTCACCCAGACTAGCGTGCAGTGGTAGGATCTCAGCTAACTGTAACAACCTCTGCCTCCCAAGCTCAAGCTATCCTCCCACCTCAGCCTCCCAAGTAGCTGGGACCGTAGGTATGCACCACCATGCCCAGCTAATTTTTGTATTCTTTATAGAGATAGGGGTCTCACTTTGTTGCCCAGACTGGTCTTGAACTCCTGAGCTCAAGTGATCCACCTGCCTTGGCTTCCCAAAGTGCTGGTATTTCAGGTGTGAGCCACCATGCCTGGCCAACAGTTCTATTAGTTTTTGTTTCACGTATTTGAAACTCTATTTTTAGGTGCATCCACATTTTGGATTTCTGTCTTCTTGGAAAATTAATCCCTCTATTATTATGTAATGTACCTATTTATTCTTGATATTATTCCTTGTTTCGAAGTCTACTGTGTTTGATATTAATATAGATATTATAGCATTCTTTTCATTGTTGTTTGCAGGGTATATTTTTTTCTATCCTTCTACTTTTGTTTGTTTGAGATGGAGCCTCGCTCTGTCGCCGGGCTGGAGTGCAATTGCACGATCTTGGCTCACTGCAACCTCTGCCTCCCAGGTTCAAGGGATTCTCCTGCCTCACCCTCCCGAGTAGCTGGGACTACAGCATGCGCCACCACACCCAGCTAATTTTTGTATTTTTAGTAGAGACGGGGTTTCACCATGTTGGCCAGGATGGTCTCAATCTCTTGACCTTGTGATCTGCCCGCCTTGGCCTCCCAAAGTGCTGGTATTACAGGCGTGAGCCACCATGCCTAGCTATCCTTCTACTTTTAATCTATGTCTATGGGTTTCTTATAGAAAGCATATAGTTGAGCCTTGCTTTTTAATCTGGTCTGAAAATCTCTGTCTTTTAATTGGTATTCCCAGTCCAAATTAAGCCCATTAACAGGTACTGTCAGTAGATGACTTTGCCTTCTTGATTACTAAAAACTAGATTGATAGATATGTTCTCCCTCAACTTTCAATTCTCCTACTTAATAATAATGGCAATGGTTGCAATTATTCAGAATTTTCCATGTACTAGACTTCTTTTTACATGTATTAACTAATTTAATCCTAATAACAATTTTATGAGCATTATTAGTATTGTCCCAATTTACAGATTAAGAAAACCAAGTGACAGCCAGGCATGGTGGCTCACGCCTGTAATCCCAGCACTTTGGGAGGCGGAGGCAGGTGGATCATGAGGTCAAGAGATCGAGACCATCCTGGCCAACCTAGTGAAACCCTGTCTCTACTAAAAATACAAAAATTAGCTGGGCGTGGTGGTGCGCACCTTAGTCCCAGCTACTCGGAGGGAGGCTGAGGCAGGAGAATTGTTCGAACCTGGGATGTGGAGGTTGCAGTGAGCTGAGATCGCGCCACTGCACTCCAGCCTGGCAACAAACCAAGACTCCATCTAAAAAGAAAAAGAAAAGAAAACCAAGTGACAGAGAGGTTTAAGTAACTGGATCAAGATCACACTAAGAAACATTAGAGCAGTTTCCAAATGCAAGCACTAGGGCTTCAGGTATTAATCCCACACTATATTTCTTCACCACCTTTAACGGGGTTTCTTCCATTTCTTCTTCTTCTTCTTTTATTTATTTATTTATTTTTTAGATGGAGTCTCTGTCACCCAGGCTGGAGTGCAGTGCAGCGGCACAATCTCAGCTCACTGCAACCTCCGCCTCCTAGGTTCAAGTGATTCTCCTGCCTCAGCCTCTGAGTAGCTGGGATATCAGGCACGCATCACCAGGCCTGGCTAATTTTTATATTTTTAGTAGAGATGAGATTCACCATGTTGGCCAGGCTGGTCTCGAACTCCTGACCTCAAGTGATCCGCCTGCCTCGGCCTCCCAAAGTGCTAGGATTACAGGCTTGAGCCACCACGCCCGGCCTCTTCTTCCATTTCTAATCCACATTTCAAGAAGGATGTCTTCATGCATTGTCTCTACTTTTTTCACTTCTTAACCATGCCATCTGCTCCCATAGTACTATTCTGATATAATTAACCATAATCTTCATATTGCCAAATCCAATAGACATTTCTTAGTTATTCCTCTGGCATTTTCTGCTGTATTTGACTTTACAAATTTCTCTCCTCTAAACTGCATTAGATATTTCTTCTCTGTGTTCCCATAATGCCCTATATACATTCTTATTTTTGCAGTTATATAATGTATCATAATGAAATGCTCAGAAGTATTATGGTCTAAATGGGCCCCTTAAAATTCTTATGTTGAAACTTAATCGGCAATGTGATACTAAAAGATGGAGTCCTGTAAGAAGTGATTAAGTCATGAGGGCAGAACCCTAATGGATGGGATAGGGCCTTTAGAAGAAGACTTGAGAAAATGGATTCACTCTTCTCACTTTTTCCACCATGTGAAAGGACATAGTGTTCATCCCCCTTTTGCCCTTCCATCCTTTCTGACATGTGATGACACCTAGATGGTGCCATCTATGAGGAAAATGCCCTCACCAGACACAGAACCTTGATCTTGGACTTCCCAGCCACCAGAACTGTGGGAAATAAGTTCAGCTCTTTATAAATTACCCAATCTGTGTTATATTGTGATAGCAGCACAGGTGGACTAAGACAAGGAGCTGGACTGTTCACTGTGTCATAAGCTCCCTGACATCAGATGCTGTTTCTTCTCTATATTTGTATGTCCAGTGCCTACTATAGTGCCTGGCACATTGTAGGCATTAAAAAATAGTTTGTTAAATCAATAAATAACTGAAAACCATTTATTAATAATGGGTATATTATTTGTTGTCACTTTTACAGCAGCAAACACGAAAATCTCTCCAGGCATAGATTTTATGAGCTATATTATTATTATTTTTTGAGACGGAGTCTCGTTCTGTTGCTCTGGCTGGAGTGCAGTGGCACGATCTCAGCTCACTGCAACCTCCACCTCCTGGGTTCAAGCAATTCTCCTGCTTCAGCCCCTCAAGTAGCTGGGATTACAGGCCCCCGCCATCACACCTGGGTAATTTTTGTATTTTTAGTAGAAACAGCGTTTTACCATGTGGGCCAGGCTGGTCTCAAACTCCTGACCTCAAGTGATCCACCCGCTTCGGCCTCCCAAAGTGCTGGGATTATAGGCATAAGCCACTGCGCCAGGCCAGCTGTATTATTTTTTATGATTCAATAAGGAGATAAAGCTTGGCTGAAACTCAACGATTCTTCTCTTCCCCAATAGGACCCCTTATGATGCTCTGTGGAAAAAGGGAAATTAAATATGTTAATTTGTCAATTAACAAATAAATAAATAAATTGATATTATGGCCTTATAATAATACCCCCGGCATGATTTTCATTAGAAAGACTATTGCCATGAACTATGGGCTTGACAGCATTAATATAGCATCTTACTGCCTCCATCCTCATGCGCTTTCTTTCATGTTCAAAAGCAAAGGAAGTTTCATCAACCATTTTCAATCACTGACTCTGTAAGTTCAAGAATTTCAGGGACTGCTACAAAGAATCAGTTTGATTATTAAGTCAAAGCTAGACTTTTGCTTTCATGCTTAAAGAAGTAACTACTCTGGGACTCCTCTCCCTCCTACTGTAGACAACAAGAAACAGGGTGGAGAGGGTGGAATTAAACAAATGGACAACAGGCAGCACAGGACTGTGATCTTTGAGTGAAGGGAAATAATCTAGATGAGCATTTTAACTGCACTGGCTTTCTGTCTGGGGACAATTTCTAACCACAGTGTAGGAAGGTCTCATTAAGATGGGATGATAGTAATTGAAGTTCAGGGGTTCCGAAGCAGCTAAAATTTGTGGGACAGTAAAAAGGAGAGAAAGGAGCTAGAAAAAGAACTCCAGAAATTTGCATAGGGTTTCCTCCCTTGAGTCTTTGAGACTAAATTCAAATCTGTGTGCCTGAAGGGTGAAACTCCATGAGGCTGGGCAAAGAACAAATGCTGTGGAATGAACATTTACAGAGGTGCTGTAATGTAGAAAATTTTTAGAACTCCCAAAAGCCTGGGGATCATTTTAGTGCCCATCAGAGAAAGTAGAGAGACCTCATTGAATAAATGGGCCATTGAGTAGAGATCCCAGAGGGTTTCAGCTTAATAGTAGAGCTAAACTAGTTCTACAGTAAAGGCTACCTCTACTTACCTTAAAACACGTAAAATCAAACCTTGAAAAGATGAAGTTGATCCAAAAGTCACTTAATTACCTTCCAGAATAAAGTTGCATACTCCATAGGAATACTACAATAACTTTAAAGGAATATTACAAAAAACTCATGAAGACAGAAATCACAGTTCGGGGAGATTAGGCTGCTAGAATTGTGAGACAGAGAACTAGAGGGTAGGGCATTGAGTAGAGACAGACTTCTGCAGAACTGTAGAGGGGTTTCATAAAATATTTGACTAAGTACTGATTTGCACGCGACTGAAAGGAATTTTGGAAGTAGACACCGGAAAAGAATGAGCAAAATAATTACCAGCATTCATACAGAGAATAATTTGTGTTCCCACCAGTTGGATTGGAGAGGCCTTGTCATAGACAGGGCATCAGGTACAGCCCTCAGAAGAGTCAGGCCTTAGGAGTGTGGACAAACAGCCAAGTAAAGTCTTCTCTGGACCCACCATAACAAGCTTAATACAAAGCCTCAAATGGTTCAAACTAATCCTCAGGTGTATTAAAGTGAACATCAGAACAAAAATCAAAACTCTTTAAAAGGATACAAAAATTCAGTACTTCACAATGTAAAGTTCACAATGTCCAGCATCTAACAAAAAATGGCTCAGCCTGCAAAGAAGCAGAAAATATGATCCATAACTAGGATAAAAATTAGTCAATAGAAATGGGACAAGAAACGACAGAAGTGATGTAATTGGCGAGCAAAAACATTAAAACAGCTACTATAAATTTAAAAAATACACAAGTGAATTAAAGGAAAATGTGAACATAAGGAGGAGAGAAATGGAAGACATAAAATATGTTAATAAAATTTTTAGAGATAAAAATATAATTTATTAAATGAAAAATAACCGGATGGGATTAAGAGCCCATTAAACATTGCAGAGGAAACAATCAGTGAACTTGGGTAAGAACAATAGAAACTATGCAAAATGAAGTATACAGAAAAAAGACCAAATATAAGTGAATTGAGCCAAGGGGCAATATCAAGTGGTCTAACGTATATGCAAATGAAATCCTAGCAAAAGATAGGTGAGCAAAAATATTTGAAAGATGGTCAAGTACTTTCTAAATTTGATAAAAACTGTCAATCCAGAGATCCAAAAAAGTCAACAGACCCAAAGTAGAAGCGGTATACAGAAAGCTCCATAAAAGGAAATCAGTTTCAAATTGTTGAAAACCAGTGGAAGAGAAAAGTAGCCAAAGGAACAAAGATTTTTTAAAAAGTAACAATTTTCTCATGAGAAGTTATGCAGACCAGAAAACAATCAAATGGTATCTTTAAAGTGCTAAAAGAAAAAATATTCAACCAGTAATTATCTACCAGTGAAAATGTCTTTCAAAAATGAAGTCATGTCCAATCCTGGAAGCTAAGCATGGTTGGGCCTAGTTAGTACTTGGATGAGAGTACTGTTGAGTGATGTAGGTTTATTAAAAACTAAATTTAAAAATTTTAAAATGAAGTTTAAAATGATTTTCAGATCAATGAAAGCTGACAAAATTCATTGCAAGTAAATGTGCACTATAAGAAAGCTCTCTAGGCAGAAGAAAAATTATGAAAATGTGGATCTGTGCAAAGGAATGAAGAGTACCTGGAATGGGAAATCTTTGAGAAAGAAACATTAAATTTATTCCTCATATTTTAATCTCTTTAAAAGATAATTATTTGTAGCAAAACAGACAAGTAGAGAAAACTCACAATGCCAAAAGTTGCCTCTTTGAAAATATTAAAACAACTGATAAACCTGGCAAGAATAAAAAGAAAGAAAACTCAAATTATTAATATGAGAAATAAAAGAGGGGATATCATGACAGATCTTATGGATATAAAATCCATGAAAGAAAATCTCATGTGAATTAATGCCTACATGAAGTGGAAAAATTCCTGTAAAGACAGGAATTTTAAAATTCCTGTAAAGACAGGAATTTTAAAATTCCTTTAACTGACTCAAAAAAATAGGAAATTTGAATAGCACTATAGCTGTTAAATAAAATGAATTTATGATTTATAAATTTTAAGCAAAGAAAGTGTCAGAGCCAGATGACTTCACTGGTGAATTTTACCAAATATTTAATGGAAGAAATAATACCAATCCTACACAAAGTTTTTCAGAGGATTAAGGACAAAGGAACATTTTCAATTCATTTTATTATGTTTTGTATTTTTATTTTTTATGTTTTTGAGTCAGAGTCTCAATCTGTCACCCAGGCTGCAGTGCAGTAGCATGATCGCATCTCACTGTAGTCTTGACCTCCTGGGCTCGTTTTCCTCTCACTTCAGCCTCCCAAGTAGCTGGGACTACAGGCATTTGCCACCACACCCAGCAAATTTTCTCTATTTTTTTGTTGAGATGGGATCTCCCTATGTTGCCCAGGCTGGTCTCAAACACTTGGGCTCCAGGGTTCCTCCAACCCTGGCCTCCCAAAGTGCTGGGGTTACAGGTGTGAGCCACCATGCCTGGCTGCAGCTGATTTTATGATGCCAGCATTACCCTAAAACGAAAATTAGGCAGAAATTACAAGAAAAAGAAAACCCTGCTGGTCAATATCCCTCATAACTCTAGACACAAGAGTGATTTTTTAAATTGGCAAATTAAATCCAGTAATATATAAAAGGATGATACGCTGTGATTAAGTGGAGTTTATCCCAGTAATCCAGAATAGATTTAACAACAACAATAACAAAAATCAAAGAATGCAACTCACTATACTAACAGAATAAAGGAGGAAAACAATATGATTATTTCAATAGATTCAGAAAAAAACAAAATTCAACACACACTCATGATTAAAACTCTCAGCAAGCTATGAATAGAAGGGACTTTTTCAATCTGTTAAAGAACATCTGTGAAAAACTACAGCTAATATGATAATGGTCAAAGAATGAACATTTTCCCTTTAAGATCAGGAACAAAGCAAGGCTATCTGCTCTCACCGCTTCTATTCAACATTATACTGAAGTTCCTAGACATTTTAATACACCAATAAGAAGAAATAAAAGGCAAAAAGATTGAAAAGAAGTAAAATTCTCTTTACTCATAGAAGATAAGATAGTTGATGTAGGAAATCCTAAGGAATCTATAAAAAAGCTAGTAGAACCACAAACTGAAGTTAGCAAGTCACAAAATATAAGTTTTGTTTTGTTTTGTTTTGTTTTGTTTTGTTTTGTTTTTTGAGACAGAGTCTGGTTCTGTCGCCCAGGCTGGAGTGCAGTGGCGCGATCTCGGCTCACTGCAAGCTCCACCTCCCGGGTTCACGCCATTCTTCTGCCTCAGCCTCCCGAGTAGCTGGGACAAAATGTAAGATTTTTAATGTTAAAAAATCAGTTGTAGGCCGGGCGTGGTTGCCCACGCCTGTAATCCTAGCACTTTGGGAGGCCGAGGCGGGCGGATTGCCTGAGCTCAGGAGTTTGAAACCAGCCTGGGCAACACGGTGAAACCCCAACTCTACTAAAAATATTTTTTAAAAAAATTAGCCGGGCGTGGCAACTTGCACCGGTAGTCCCAGTTACTCGGGAGGCCGAGGCAGGAGAATCGCTTGAACCTGGGAGGCGGAGGTTGCGGTGAGCCGAGATCGCGCCACTGCACTCCAGCCTGGGCGACAGAGCGAGATTCCGTCTCCAAAAAACAAAACGAAACAAAACAAAATCAGTTGTATTTCTTTATAATAGCAACATTTGGAAATCAAAATTAGAAAACAGTTTCTGTCTCTCTCTCTTTTTTTTTTTTGGAAACAGGGTCTCGCTCTGTCACCCAGGCTGGAGTGCAGTGACACGATCTCAGCTCACTGTAATCTCTGCCTCCCAGGCTCAAGCGATCCTCCTGCCTCAGCCCCCGAGTAGCTAGGGCTACAGGTGCTCGCCAACATGGCAGACTAATGTTTGTGCTTTTAGTAGAGACAGGGTTTTGCCATGTTGTCCAGGCTGCTCTTGAACTCCTGGGCTCAAGTGATTCTCCCACCTCGACCTCCCAAAGTGCTGAGATTACAGACAAGAACCACTGCACCCAGGCTCTTTTTTTGTTTTTTATTTTATTTCTTTTCTTTTCTTTTTTTTTTTTTTTTTGAGATAGGCTCTCACTATGTTGCCCAGGCTGGAATGCAGTGGCACAATCATAACTCACTGCAGCCTCAACCTCCCAAACTCAAGTGACCTTCCCACCTCAGCCTCCCAAGTAGTTGGGATCACAAGTGCATCCCACCATGCCCGGCTAATTTATTTTTATTTTTTGTAGCGATGGAGTTTCCCTATGTTGTCCAGGCTGGTCTATGTTGTTCTGGGCTCAACTGATTCTCCCACTTTGGCCTCCCAAAGTTGTGAAATTACAGGTGTGAGCCGCTGGCACAGGCCTCTCTCTCTCTCTCTTTTTTTTTTTTTTTTTGGAGAGATGGGGTCTGTCTTGTTGCCCAGGCTGGTTTCAAATTCCTGGCCTCAAGAGATCCTCCTGCCTCATCCTCCCAAAGTGCTGGGATTACAGGTGTGAGCTAGTGTGTCTGCCCACAATCTCATTTATAATAGCATCCAAAAAAATAAAATACGTAAGACACATTTAACAAAATATGAGCAAGATCTTTGTGGAGGCCAAAGCAACTCCATCTTGGATGCTAATCCACCATGTTGACTTCTGATTAACTCCTGTTCTGGGAAGACCTCTACCATTTCGAGTTTATCTATTGTTCCTTGTGTAACAGCATGTACTTACTGTAAATCTTGCCCTTGGGTCAAAACAACCTTGATGTTGGAACGGAAAGGTTCCTTTGTCCCCCTCACAGGGTGTGCGATGCGGGTTTGGCTCACTTCTTCAGTGCCCCGCTGCTCAGACCTCTAGGGGAGCATACAGACTGGCAGGCTATGGGGTTCCAATCCCACGGCAGTGTCTAAAGGTGAATGTTTGCAGCCGGAGCCCCTGTGGGCGTGTTTTACAGGGTGCTCTTTTAGTTTGCCATCTACTGGCGGCTTGTGTTAAACAGCTCAGTTATACCCTCTACTTTGTCGCAAAGACAGATGGCTTTCTGTATCCTGGGTTCTTGCCTTGTTGCAGTGGAATAATAGGATCACACGTGAGCTTGGAGAATGAGTGCAAAGTTTTATTGAGTGGAAGTAGCTCTCCACCGATGGGGGAGCAAGAAGGGGGATGGTTTTCCCCTGGAGTTGGGCCTCTGAGCGGTCTGGCTCTTTTCCGACTTCCTGGGCCAAACTCCACTTCGTCTGGTTGGTCGATGGCCTGCTGGCATGCCAGCCCTTATCCAGCCGCTTGTGTCTTCTTCCACAGATCTGCTCCTCTCCACGTCCAGCAGCTTGTGGGTGTGCCTGCTAGGATCTCGGGTTTTTATAGCCACAGGACTGGGGGCATGGTGGGCCAAGATAGACTTGGGAAATGCAACATTTGGGCTCCAAGGCAGGAGTGCCTGTCCTTAGCTAGGTCCATGGGGGTGGAGCCCTAGTCAGGGACCTTGCCCTACACTACCCAGAACTTTCCTTCCTCCCTTCCTCCCTTCATCATTTAAAGGACCACGCTCTTCCCTTCCCAGAAATTCCGTAACAATGTTATCATACTTCAGTTGTCCCACACATCCTTCTGAGTCACGCTTTTCCTATGGTATGTAAGTCCTGGGTGGTGGGAGTAATGATGCCAGACACTATCTTTTCTCCCTACCGCCCAAGACATGGACATGGCTTCTGTTCATAAGTCTCTATGAAATGTTCCTTTCTGAAAAACTGGATACATCAGCCTCTTTCTTGGCCTCTTAGCTTCTTCTTGTTAGATATAAGTTCTAAATTTATTTTCGAAGAATCAATATGTCAGTATGTTCAATTATTTGCCTTCTGCTTTTAAACTTAACTTCCTGGTAAAGCAACCTTTTTCGATTACATGCTCCACCCTGACTCATTCCGATTACCTGCTCCACCCTGACTCATCCTGTCATAACCATTTTTCCCACCAAACCACTCACCCCCTCACTCTCTTTAAATTAGCCAATCGGAATTAGTTTAGCCTGTGCAGTCTAACCCTAGCCAATAGGGGAACAATATAGCAGCAGGGGCCACGTGCGTCAGGGATAAGAAACCCTTCCCCTCCCTTGTCCAAGTGTGTGCTCACCATTCCTCCATCTGTAAGGGCGCACCCTGCTATAGAAGTACCTTGCCTTGCTGTGAAGTAAAAAGAAAATTTTACATTCGAGTGAGATTTCTTTTGCGGCACTGAAACTTTATTTATAACATTCTGACTTTGGGGATAGGTTTGCATAGACCTGTTCACCTTGGAACAACCTTTTCACTGAAAACTACTAGGTATTTCTGAGAGACAACAAAAACTTAAATAGTGAGACATACAATGTTTATGGATTAAAAGACGAAATATTGTTAAGATGTCAATTATTTGAAAATTGCTACATAGATAAAACACAATCTCAGTCAAAATTCCAGTAGATTTTGCCAACTGTATGTAGCATATTGTAGAAATTGACTGGCTGATTTGGAATTTTGACCATTGAGGGGATTTTTTGTTTTTTATTTTTATTTTTGTCATCTATCATCTATCAATCTATAATCTATCTATCTATCTATCTATCTATCTAGCTATCTCTTTATTTGAGACAGAGTGTCACTCTGTCATCCAGGCTGGAGTGCATTGATGTGATCACAGCTCACCAGTCTCAACCTCCTGAGCAAAAGCAATCTTCCCATGTCAGCCTCCCTAGTAGGTGGGACTACAGGCTGTGCCAGCATGCCTGGCTAATTTCTTATATATATTTTTTAGAGACTGTGTCTGTTGCCCAGGCTGGCCTCCCAAGGTGCTAGAATTACATGTGTGAGCCACCACCCCTGGCCTATTTTTGTTTCTTTAAATTCAAATATGTTTACCATTTCTTGTATGGTTTCAGAGTTTTCATTTGTAGTTAAGAAAGTCTCTCCCCTCCTAAATCGTAAATACGGTATTTGATTTTCTTGAAATATCTAGAAAAAAATGTTCTATCATATTCTATCTACAAATTATATTTGAATATGGTAAATAACTGGTTTAAATTTATTTTATTCCAGATGGGCAACCAGTTGTGCCATGCCATTTAAAAAATAATCCACCCTCTCTCCAGGTAAACTATCATCTTTTTTATATATTTTTATTATTTATTATTTTTTTGAGACAGAGTTTTGCTCTGTCACCGACACTGGAGTTCAGTGGTGCCATCTCAGCTCACTGCAACCTCCGCCTCCCAGGTTCAAGTGATTTCTTCTGCCTCAGCCTCCTGAGTAGCTGGGATTACAGGCACATAAAACCACACCTGGCTAATTTTTGTATTTTTAGTAGAGACAGCGTTTTGCCATGTTGGCCAGGCTCGTCTTGAACTCCTGACCTCAAGTGATCTGCCCACCTCAGGCTCCCAAAGTGCTGGGATTACAGGCGTGAGCCACTGTGCCCAGCCTTTTTTATGTATTAAATTCATATAGAGAGAGGGGGACATTCTTTGTATAGGTTATTGACTTTTTTTGTGTTTTCCTACTGTAATATCATATTGATTTGATATAGTATTTGTATCAAATGTTTAAAATATAATAAGGCAAATACCACTTAATTGTTTTTTTTTTTTTTTTTTTTTTTTTTTTTTTTTTTTTTTGAGATGGAGTCTCGCTCTGTCGCCCAGGCTGGAGTGCAGTGGCACGATCTTGGCTCACTGCAACTTCCACCTCCCAGGTTCAAGCAATTTTCCTGCCTCAGCCTCCTGAGTAGCTGGGACTGCAGGCACCCGCCACCATGCCTGGCTAATTTTTTTGTATTTTTAGTAGAGACGGGGTTTCACCGTGTTAGCCAGGATGGTCTCAGTCTCCTGACCTCATGATCCGCCCACCTCGGCCTCCCAAAGTGCTGGGATTACAGGCATGAGCCACTGTGCCCGGCCCTCATTGTTCTTATTTCTTATATTTTTTGGCTATTCTGTAGCATTTCACCTTTCATATAAATGTTACAGTTATTGTTATCCTTTTCTAGAACAAACATAACTGGATGACAACTATTAATATATTACTTTTGAAAAGACTGCCATTTTTATTCTGTTATGTTTTCTCATCCAAACATATAATTTATCTTCCCCTTTCTCAGGTCTAATGTTCTTAAATTGTGGCTGTCAATAAAATTTTCTTTTTCTTTTCATAGTTTTTTTTTTTTTTTTTCAATTTATTCTGAAGCACTTTATATGGTTTTTCCATTATTATGAATGGAATATTTTTTCTCATTTTTTATTTCTAGGTGCTTATTGCCAGAAAATTGAAAAACCTATTGAATTTAGTATATTGCTTTGATATATAGCCACCTTACCAATTTATCTTGTTAACTCTACAAGTATTTTACTGGCTTTCTTAGGTTTTCTAGGTATATAACGTCATCAGCAAAAAGAGATCATTTAAACTGTTCTTTTAAAATTTTTATGCCAGTTCTTCCATTTTCTCATCTTATTGTATTCATGAAAACTTCTAAGACGGTGTTAAATAAAGATGGTGAAAACATGATTCTATGCCTAGTTTCTGATTTGAACGTAAATTGTTTACTTGGCCTGCCATTTAAAAAACTATTTGCCACTGTAGTTTGCTAAATGGTCTTTGTTATATTTAGGTAGTTTCCTCCTATTTTTATTCACTTAGAATTTTTGTTAGAATGGTGATCTAGTTTGAATATATGTCCCCACCAAATCTCACGCTGAATTATAATCCCCCATGTTGGAGGTGGGGCCTGGGGGGAAATGTTTGGGTCATTGGGGGCGGTTATAATCCCCCATGTTGGGGGTGGGGCCTGGGGGGAAATGTTTGGGTCATGGGGGCAGATCCCTCATGGCTTGGTGCTATCCTCGGGGATCGTGAGTTCTTGGGAGATCTGGTTGTTTGAGTGTGTAACACCTCCCCACCCACTCCCTCTCTTGCTCCTGTTTTCACTATGTGACATGCAAGCTCCTGCTTTGCCTTCCGCCATGAGTCAAAGCTTCCTGAAGCCTCCCCAGAAGCAGATGCCTGCACTATGTGTCCTGTACAGTCTGCAGCACTGTGAGCCAATTAAACCTGTTTTCTTATAAATTTACCAGTCTCAGATATTTCTTTATAGCAATGCAAGAATGGCTTAATACGGATGGCTAGTAATTTAGTCAAATAAATATTTTGGCATTTGTTGATCTCACTGTATATTTTTCTCTCTTTAAATTGTTATAGTAACGGATTATGTTGGTAGATTTCCTGATGTTCAAACATTATTGCATTCCTGAAACAAATCTTGCTTGAATTTTTTTTTAATACCAGACTACAGTTTTTACTTTTATTTAGAAAATGGATTTTCAATTTATTCTGACATCCTAAAATAAATTGGGAAGTGTTACAATCTAAGTAATACCTTAAAAAAAAGCAATTATCTGTTCTTTAAAAGTTGTCAAAGGCTCTGGTACCAGAGCCTTTTTCAAGTGGTAGATTTTATTTTATCATCTTCATACTGGGCATGGTGGCTCATGCCTATAATCCCAGTACTTTGGGAGGCCAAGGTGGGAGGATTGCTTGAGCCCAGGAGTTCAAGACCATTATGTGCAATATAGGGAGACCATGTCTCTACAAAAAAATTAAAAGTTAGCTAGGGGTGGTGGTGTGCACCTGTAGTCCCAGCTACTCAGGAGGCTGAGGTGGGAGGATTGCTTGAGCCCAGGAGTTCAAGACCATTATGTGCAATATAGGGAGACCATGTCTCTGCAAAAAAATTAAAAGTTAGCTAGGGGTGGTGGTGTGCACCTGTAGTCCCAGCTACTCAGGAGGCTGAGGTGGGAGGATGGCTTGAGCCTGGGAGGTCAAGGTTGCAGTAAGCTGTGACCATGTCACTGCACTCCAGCCTGGGTGACAGTGAGACTCTGTCTCCAAAATAATAATTTAGCCAGGCATGGTGACAGGTACCTGTAGTCCCAGCTACCCAGCAGGCTGAGGTGGCAGGATCACCTGAGCCCTGGCTTATAGATGGCCACCTTTTCACTGTGTCCTCACATAGTAGAGAGAGACAGCTCTGGTGTCTCTTCTTTTAATAAGTCACCAGTCCTATTGGATTAGGTCTCTGCCCTTATTACCTTATTTAACCTTAATTACCTCCTTTTAGGCCCTGTCTCCAAATATAGTCACATTAGGGGTTAGGGCTTCAACATATGGATTTTGGGGAAACAAATCAGCTCATAGCACTCCACCCCTAACCCCCAACATTCATTCCCTTATTACATGCAGAATATGTTCAGTCCATTCCAACAGCTGCAAAGGTATTAACTCACTCCAGCATGATTTCTAAAGTCTAAAGTTCAGTCTCATCTAAACATCATCTAAATCTGATTGCGCTATCATAACAAAATACTGCAGACTGGGTGGCTTGAACAACAGAAAGGTATTTCTCAGAGTTCTGGAGACTGGAATGTCCTAGATCAAAGTGCCAGTTGGTTCAATTCCTGGTGAGGACTCTCGTGTAGATGACTGTCTTCTCACTGTGTCCTCACATGGCAGAAAGCAAGAGAGAGCTCTGATGACTCTTCCTTTTCTTTTTTCCTTTGTTCTTTTTTTTTTTGAGATGGAGTCTCACTCTGTTGCCAGGCTGGAGTGCAGTGGTGTGATCTCGGCTCACTGCAACCTCTGCCTCTCAGGTTCAAGTGATTCTTCTGCCTCAGCCTCCCAGTTAGCTGGGATTACAGGGGTACATCACCACACCCAGCTAATTTTAGTAGTTTTAGTAGAGATAGGGTTTCACCATATTAGGCAGGATGGTCTCGATCTCTTGACCTTGTGATCTGCCTGCCTCAGCCTCCCAAAGTGCTGGGATTACAGGCGTGAGCCACCAAGTCAAGCCCCCTTTTCTTATAAGGCATCAACCCTATCATATTAGGGTCCCACTCTTAATTCCCTCCTTATAGGCCCTTTTTCCAAATATTGGGGATTAGGGCTTCAATATATGAATTTTTAGGGGACACAATTTAGTCCATAGCACTATCTCTTTTGTAAAGATTGTAATTTTTTACAGAGTACCAATTTTTGGTAACATATTTAACTAAAAAATTATTCATTTGCTTAAGGCTTTCAAATTTGTTGCTGTAAAATTGGCGGTAGTAAGACTTCAAAAGATTCATTAAAAAATGCATATTACAAAAAAAAAACTGTGCACAAATTCCAAAATTTGTTTCCACCGAAGCAAACTTGTACTAACTTGTTATAACATGTGAAAGATACAACATCAGGTTGAAAAGAGCCCCAATCAAAGCAACATGAATTCTCCTAAAATTTAAGCAAGAACAAACATCAAATTTATGGGGAAGCTTGAGTGGAAGAATGGTGAAATCATTGATGCTTTCCAAAAAGTATATGAGGACAATGCCCCAAAGAAATCAGCAGTTTACAAATGGATAGCTTCTTTTAAGATGGGAAGAAATGATATTGAAGATGAAGTCTACGGTGGAAGATCATCCAATTTTTGAGGAAAATACTAATCATGTTTGTGCCTTAACTGAACAGGACTGATGAATAACAGCACAAACAACAGCCAATACCATAGACATCTCAATTGGTTCAGTTTACGCAATTCTGACTGAAAAGTTGAGCGAACTTTCCATTTCATGGGTGCCAAAACTGTCGCACCAGATCAGTTGCAAACAAGAGCAGAGGTGCAAACAAGAGCAGAGCTTTCAATGAAAATTTTAAACAAGTGGGATCAAGATTCTGACGTACTTCTTCAAGGAATTGTAACTAGAGATGAAACATGGCTCTGCCAGTACACTCCTGAAGACAAAACACAATCAAAGCAATGGCTACCAAGCGGTGGAAGTGGTCCAGTCAAAGCAAAAGTGGAGTAATCAAGAGCAGAGGTCATGGCATCAGTTTTTTGAAATACTCAAGGAATTTTGCTTGTTGGCTTTCTGGAGTGCCAAAGAACAATAACATCTGCTTATAATGATAGTGTTTTGAGAAAGTTAGTTAAAGTTTTGGCAGAAAAAAACATCTGGAAAAGGTTTACCGAAGTCTTTCTCCACCACAATAATGCTCCTGCTCATTCCTTTCATCAAATAAGGGCAATTTTGTGAAAGTTTTGATGGGAAATCATTAGGCATCCACCTTACAGTCCTGATGTGGCTCCTTCTTACTTATTTTTGTATCCTTATCTTAAAAAGTCTGTAAAGGGCACCCATTTTCCTTAAGTAAATAATGTAAAAAAGCCTGCATCAACATGGTTAAATTCCCAGGACCCTCAGTTCTTTAGGGATGGACTAAATGGCTGGTATTATTGCTTACAAAACTGTCTTGGACTTGATGGAACTCATGTTGAGAAATAAAGTTTGTAATTTTTATTTTTATCTTTTTTCTTTTTGTAGAGACAAGGTTTCTCTTTGTTGCCCAAGCTGATCTTAAACTCCTGGCCTCAAGTGAGCCTCCTGCTTATTTTTATCTTTTAATCCATTTTTTTCCATAAACTTTTTGAAGTCTCCTTGTAGCCTCATAATTATTTTCCTCTTTGCTGAATATGTAGTATGTCTTCTTTTTCATGCCTAATTGTGTCTATTTTTGCTGTATCCATTTTACTTTATTAGACACATGAGTTTACTTATTTTGTTTTCAAAGAACCAGCTTATTTAATTATGCATACTTTCTATTCTTTTTGTTTGTTCTCTGTTTCACTGATTTTGGCTACTAGATTATTTTTTAAAATCCTCGTGTCTCAGTATACTTTGTTAATTTTTAATTTTTAAGATAAAAAATTAGTTCCTTTTTGTTTTTCTTATTTAATAATAAATTTATTTAATGGCGAACATTTCACTCTGGATTCAGCTTTCAAATGTCCTGTAAGTTTTGGTATGCAGTCTTCTTTTCACTGCATCCAAAGTAGCTTATAACTTCCTTTGGTTTTCCCCTAATTTTTATTATGTTATTATCTGAGAAGGTAGTTACTAGTATCTCTACTTTTTAAAATTTGTTATTTTTTAAAAAAATGTTCTTCGTGAGAAAATACATGGTATATGTAAATGTTCTAAGGACATACAAAAAAAAGAGAGAATATTGTCTGTTAGAGTAATAAAAGATTCTAAATGTAGCTATTAAAGCAAGGTAATTTATTGTGTAGTTGCCCTAGAATTGATCAATTCTAACAGAAATATATTTATGTCTTCCACTAAATACTTCTCTATATTACGCATTTCTAATGTTTTTGCTTTACATAATTTACCAGCATGATGTTTGGTGTATAGAATTTAAAAATTCTACCTTTTTCAGGCCAGGTATGGTGGCTTATGTCTATAATGCCAACACTTCAGGAGGCCAAGGCAGGAGGATTGATTGAGGCCAGGAGTTCAAGAACAACCTGGTCAACATAGCAAGCTCCTGTCTCTACAAAAAAAGAAAAAAAAAAATTAAAAATTAGTTGGGCATGGTGTCACATGCCTGTAGTCTTAGCTACTTGGGAGGCTGGGGCAGGAGGATCACGAGTTTAAGAGTTCAAGGTTGCAATGAGCTATGATGATGCCAGTGCACACCAGCATGGGTGGCAGAGTGAAACCCAGTCTCTAAAAAAATAAATAAAATAAGTACAATAAAATTATACCTTTTTCATAAATTGTACCTTTTATTTTTTATTTTTTTTATTTATTTTTGAGACAGAGTCTCCCTCTGTCACCCAGGCTGGAGTGCAGTGGTGCAATCTCGGCTCACTGTAACCTCTACCTCCTGGGTTCAAGCAATTCTCCTGCCTCAAGATCCTGAGTAGCTGGGATTAAAAGCACATGCCACAGTGCCTGGCTAATTTTTGGATTTTTAGTAGAGACAGGATTTCACCATGTTGGCCAGGCTGGTCTCAAACTCCCAACCTCAAGTGATCTGCCTGCGTTGGCCTCCCAAAGTGCTGGGATTACAGGCATGAGCCACTGCGCCTGGCCATATTGTGCCTTTTAAAAAGTACATAATGTCAATCTTTATCCTGTTTAGTGCTTTTGATCTTAAATTCCACTTACTCTTATATTATTGGTGTCATTTCTGCTTTCTTGTTTGCATTTGCTTGAGATATTTTGCCTATTATCTTGTTAACTTTATCATTTTAATCTTTTGAACAGCTTTTATATTTACTTTTTTTTTTTTTTTTTGAGACAGAATCGCGCCTTGTCGCCCAGACCGGAGTGCAATGGCACCATCTCGGCTCACTGTAACCTCCACCTCCTGTATTCAAGCGATTCTCCTGCCTCCCAAGTAGCTGGGATTATAGGTGCCCGTCACCAGGCCTGGCTATTTTTTTTTTGTATTTTTTAGTAGAGACAGGGTTTCAGCATGTTGGCCAGGCTGGTCTTGAACTCCTGACCTCAGGTGATCTGCCTGCCTTGGCCTCCCAAAGTGCTGGGATTACAGGTGTGAGCCACTGCATCCGGCCTCAGGTAGTTCTTTATAGCAGTGTGAGAACAGACTAATACATCCAGTATATTCTTATTCATTTACATATAACTATGCACATAGATGGCAGGGTGTATTTTTGCTCATTCTGTTTTTTCTCTCTTCTCACTATTTTGAAGTGCTTGTACATCTCAAAATAAATTGTTGTCTTTTCTTTAATATCTTTCTCAGATGAGTCATGTGAGTGACCCTCTGAATTATTGCACATTCTCAAAGACCTTTTTTTCCTTTGACAGATTAATTATATCTGTCAACCTAAAAAACATGAGATCTATAAATCCAGAAAGGAGAACTTTATTTCTTGAGTAAGGCTGCAACCTGTAGGCTGGGAAGCAGAGCCTCCAGCTAAGACCAAAAGCAGACACTTTGAGGGAGGTAGGGTGGGACAGGAGTTCTATGCTAAATGGGTTGGCTAAACACATATTTAACAGGCTAAAGGAGAAACTATAAATATCCATGAAGGGGGGTTGTGGTCATGCATGGTAAGCAAACATACATGTTACATATGTTTCATGTTCACTTTGGGGTGGAGACTTAATGTTAAAATGCACTAAAATTAGGCTCTATACATCAAAATGTGAAACTTAGGACACAGAGGTGCTGTGTGGATAGCCGCTGTAAACCGGCCAGAAACAGCCCATGGTCAGTGGTTATTTATCAGGAAGGAACACTTTGTGAAACTGGTAAGCTGCCATGTCTCAACTGCAAAAGGGAGGGGAGTCTGGCCATAGTGTCAGGTGGTGGTTGCAGCTGAAGTCAGTGGAAGGGTTTTCCATTCTTTGTTTGCCAAGGCTGCTTTCTGTTTAACTCTTAAGAAAAGATCCAGGGCTGGGCGTGGTGGCTTACGCCTGTAATCCCAGCACTTTGGGAGGCCAAGATGGGTGGATCATGAGGTCAAGAGATCAAGACCATCCTGGCCAACATGGTGAAACCCCATCTTTACTAAATTAAAAAAAAAAAAAAATTAGCTGGGCATGGTGGCGCACGCCTGTAGTCCCAGCTACCCAGCTACTTGGGAGGCTGAGGCAGGAGAATCACTTGAACCCGGGAGGCGGAGGTTGCAGTGAGCTGAGATCATGCCACTGTACTCCAGCACAGCAACAAAGCGAGACTCCATCTCAAAAAAAAAAAAAAAAAAAAAAAAAGAAAGAAAAAGAAAGAAAGAAAGAAAAGATCTGGTAACAGTTAATGAACAAAGGGGTATACTGAGGTGTGACTGACTTCCTGTCTTGTCATGGCCTAGAAATTTAACTTCTAGTTTTTCTGGGTTCTCCTTGGCCAAGAGGGGTCCATTCAGTCAGTCAGGGGGCTTAGGATATACTTCACATAGCATAGCTAGGTAGAGAATCTTGCCTTTTCTCTAAAGATGATATTCCACTGCTTTCAAGTTTCCAACAAAGTACAATGCAAGTCTGATTCTTTTTCTTTTTTGACAACTTTTTCTTTCTAAATGGTAGCAAATAATATTTGCTTTTCAAAGTTCAGGAATTTTACCTGATTTTATATATATCATTTTTCATCAATTTAGTCTATCTTGGATTTCTGGGAGCTCTTTTAATTTATAAAATTAGGTATTTAGCCCTCCTGCAATGTTTCTTTTGTGTATCTAGAATGCCTATATTTTATGTATTAGACCTCTTGACTTTTTCCTCCAGTTGCTTATCTTTTCCCTCCTAATTTCCCTATCACTTTTTTTTGTTGTATGCCTTGGGAGAGTTCTTCTACTTTACCTTCTAGGCCACTACAGTGACCTACTTCTTTTTCAATTTACCTACCAATATATTTAATTGAGGATTAATATTTTTTATATTTCTAGTAATTTTTCTTTATAGCACTTGAATTTCATTATGTGGTTTAAAAATATATAAATATAAAATTTCTTCCCTTTTGGTGGAGATTATTATTTTATGACTTTTTCCCGTTGGGCTTGGGTCTGGTTTTTGGAGGACGTGAATTACAAGAAGCAGTTCTCTTTCTTTGTGCTGGCAATGTAGAAAGCAGGCAGGTTGTCATCTTCATTTTGACTCCATAAATAGAGGTTTGGGAACAGTAGATGCAAAAGAGGACTTAGGAGCCATACTTCCTGAGTTCAAATGCCAGCTCTTCTGTTTATTACCGATGAAGCCTTGGGCAAATTATTCAAATTCTATATCTCAGTTTCCTTATCTATCCAATGGGGGAAAATAAGATTAAAAAAATTTAATTGTATGTAAGAAAATTCTTGAGGGGTTGTCACGACAATTTAAAAAGTCTACCTTTTTGAAGCACTAAGTATAGTTCCTGGCCAACATATTGACTATTGTTAAAACTTGTTTCAGAAAATGAATGCATACATGGTAGAATACAAATTATTAAAACTGTGAGCATTCTAGCTTCCCTGCTAATGGTTCTCAACCTTGGCTCCACATATGAATCACTGAGAAGCATTTAGAAATCCTCCTACCTTATCTCAGACAAGTTAGATCAAGTCTCTAAAATTAGGGTTTCAAGGAAGTAGGAGCTTTCAAAACTCCCCAGGTGATTCCACTTTGAGGCCAACATTGAGAACAACTGCTTTAATACCTGTGCCAAAAAAAAAAAAAAAAAATCAGTGTTTGCCTGTTGATCTACTCGCGTATTAGTCATTGCTGAATTTCCCCAGACAGATTTTTTGGCTTTGCAGAATGAAGATCTTAAAGAGAATGAGGACTTCAGAATGTGGCTACATCTCAGATTCAAGGAGATTTGTAAAAGCTGTCAGTGATTTCCCATTGCCGTAAGATAGAGTCCTAAATTCTGACAAGGCAAAGCTCATCGGTCTAGTCTCTTTCTGCCTGATGCTCCCACCTCCTTGTCTCACTCTCACTATGGCTCACTAGGGTCCAGATAAAAGAGCCACTTTTCCCTTACTTTAACATGCCAAGCTCTTTCCTGCCTCAGGGCTTTTCTGCTGGTTGTGTCCTGTTCCACCCTTGACCTGGCCATTGACCATTATTGCATAGACACAATCTACTAAAACTCACACAAGGAAAAAGAGATAATCGGAACAGGGCTTTCTATTTTAAAAATTGAATCAACAATTAATAACCTTCCAAACAGAAATTACCAGGCTTAGATGGTTTCATTGGTGAAGTCTACCAAAGATTTAAGGAACAAGATACCAGTTCTTTACAAACTGTTACAGAAAACAGAAACAGAGGGAACACTTTCTAACTCACTACTTTATAAGGTCAGCATTTCCCTAATGCCTAATTATAAGAAAGAAAAACTGCAGACCCATATCTCTCATGAACATAGTTTCTGTAGGTCATGAATTCAGGAGCAGCTTTGTTGGGTGTTTCTGGCTTGAAGTCCCTCATGAGGATGCAGTTAACATTTTGGCCAGGCTGGAAGCTTGACAATGACTGGAGATCTATTTTACACAGTGCTGGTTGTTGGCAAGAGACCTCAGTTTCTCCCCATATGGGCCTCTCTGCTGATTGCTTTAGTGCCCCCATGACACGGTGACTGGCCTTCCCCAATATGAGTGATCCCAGGGAAAGCAGGTGGAAGCGGCAATGTCTTTTATGGCCTAGCCTCAGAGGTCACACACCGTCATTTCATCTATGTCCTATTGGTAACACAGACCAATATTTAGTCCCCCATTCAATATGGGAGAGGACTAAAAAGGAGCCATCCTGGAGGTTGTGGATGACATCATACAATAGAATACATTTCAGCAATGGGAAGCCATGAATTACTTATACATGCCACCATGCACAGAAAGCTCTGATATTATAGTGATAAAAGCCAGACACAACAGAGTACATCCTACATAATTCCATTTGTATGTTGTTCTAGAACAGGCAAAACTATGGTCTTGCCTCTGAAAAGAGGAGGGATTGATAGGAAATGACACAAGGGAATTTCTGGGATGATGGAAATGTTCTATATCTTGACAGGGGAGTGCTTCACATAGGCATATCATTTGTCAAAGTTGCACAGTTAAAAATATGTGTGTATTTCAATGTGGAAACATTCACCTCAGAAAAATAGGACCATAAAAAAAATCTAGCTGGGACTGGGAATGAGTGGTGGTCTAGATAAACAAGAATGGCAGCATGCCCATAATGGTTGAAGTTGGTATATTATATTAATCTGTTTGTATATGTTTAAACATTCCAAATGAAAAGCAAAAAAAAACCCAAAACAAAACCCAAACTGTTTTGTGTAATAAGCTTCTTATTCCTTTGTGTAAGAGTGTATCTTCCCTTTTGTTTTACCATGCTAATTAAAAGAGCATTTATATCTTGTGAAGGCTGCATTATTAATTACACACCAACAGGGTCAAGTCACCTTAACAATCTTAATTATAATTGAGAAGCCAAAAGTGGCTTCTTAACCCACTTCTGATAGGTGGGTAGTGAAAAAATCCTCCGACAGCCCAACTCTCCAAAATGTCATATTACTTACGTAAAAACTGGTGAAATCCATTCAGCTCTTAGGGAAAAATGGGACAGCAATCATGGCACAAAGATGGCTCAGAGACCATGTGTCCTCTCAAGTCAGTTGACTTTTCCCCCTTTCTACCAGAGGGAAGCTGAGCAGGCAACACAGTGATCTAGACATTCAGAGAGGATCTCCTACTTTTTTGTAATACCTCCTGTTTCTTCCCTTAAGGGCTCTAGGGGCATTTGGAGGTCGGGGTGGAGGTGAAAATTAAATGAGAGGAAAGGAATTTGTAAACTGGCACACAGGTTAGTTTACCATTCCTGAATCACTCCAGGATCTAATTCTAAATGCAGAAGTACATATACATTCTCACAGACGCCAGTGAACTTTCTGCCAGTACAAAACCAAGAGCCCTCTAAAAAGAATGTGCAGAACAATGTGGTGATATTAGAAAGCACAGAGTATATCCTGGAACCGGTAATAGTCTAGATGGCCTGAATACATGAGGCACGTTAGGAGAATAAATATTGAAAAGGCTAAAGAAGCATAGTGAGCCTTGTGCCTATTAGTATGCCTTATCTTATTAGGAGAAAAATGACCCCAAAAGTTTAAGAATGAGGTTTGATTAATATAGCTTGGTGTAAAAAAATTATCCTTCTTACTTTTTGCGAAATGAATTACACAAACACTTTATGCATATCAGATTGGGACTCATCTTTTTTCACAGAATAGTAACAACAATAAATGTAAAAGGAACAGAAGTACCCTGCAGTTGTATGACACTTTAGTCATGTTGAATAGTATAGTAATGGTAAAACATATTGGCTACTTACTGTCTACTAGAAACTGTACTAGGTACCTCAGGTGACTTAACTGCCTTGATCCTCCCAACTACTTCATGAAGTACTATTAATAACCCCAATTTATGTGCCAGACGTGGTCTTACGCCTGTAATCCCAGCACTTTCAGAGGCCGAGGTGGGTGGATCACCTGAGGTCAGGAGTTCAAGACCAGCCTGACCAACATGGTGAAACCCTGTCTCTGCTAAAAATACAAAAATTAGCTGGGCATGGTGGTGGGCACCTATAATCCCAGCTACTCGGGAGGCTGAGCAGGAGAATTGCTTGAACTCGGGAGGCAGAGGTTGCAGTGAGCCAAGATTGCGCCATTGTACTCCAGCCTGGACAACAGAGTGAGACTCCATCTCATAAAACAACAACAACAAAAACAGGCCAGACGTGGTGGCTCATGCCTGTAATCCCAGCACTTTGGGAGGCCAAGGTGGGTGGATCATGACGTCAGGAGATCGAGAGCATCCTGGCCAACACGGTGAAACCCCATCTCTTCTAAAAATACAAAAATTAGCTGGGTGTGGTGGCGTGCACCTGTAATCCCAGCTACTCAGGAGGCTGAGGCAGGAGAATGGCTTGAATCCATGAGGCGGAGATTGCAGTGAGCCGAGATGGTGCCACTGCACTCCAGCCTGGCGACAGAGTGAGACTCCATCACCGACCCGCCCCCCATCCCACGAAAAAAAAACAAAACAATTTATGGATGAGGAACCTGAGACACAGAGAGGTTAAGCAAACAGGTTCACAAAGCTAGAGAGTGGCAGAGCTAGCATTTGAACCTAAGCAGTTGAGCTCCAGAGTCTGTGCTTCATTACTCTGCCACTCAAAGCTGACATGGTGTATTAGTTTTCTGTGGCTGCTGTAACAAATTACCACAAATTTAGTGGCTGAAAACAACAAAAATTTATTATCTTAGTGTTGTAAGTCAGAATTCCTAAAATCAAGCTGTTAGCAGCACTGTGATCCTTTCTGGAAGCTATAAGGAAGAACACATTTCTTGGCCTTTTCCAGCTTCTAGAGCCCACCCATGTTCCTTGGTTCATAATCTCCTGCCTCCGTCTTCAAAACCAGCATCTCTCTGACTCCTCTGTAGTTGCATCACTTTCTTTGACCATAGTTAGGAAGAGTTCTCTTTTGTATTTACCTATTTTATTTGAATTGTGGTAAAAAAACATAAAATTTACAATCTGAACCATTTTTAATTGCACAGTTCAATAGTGTTAAGTATATTCACATTCCTGTGAAACGGATCTCTAGAAATTTTTCACCCCTCAGTCTGAAACTTTGTACCCATTAAACATCTGTTTTCCCCCTTCCCCTTATCTCCTGGTAACCACCATTCTACTTTCCGTTTCTATGAATTTTAGATACCTCATATAAGCAGAATCATATAGCATTTATCTTTTTGTGACTGGCTTATTTCATTAAGCATAATGTACTCAATGAAGCTTCATCCATGTTGTAGAATGTGACACAATTTCCTTCCTTTTTAAGGCTGAATAATATTTCACTGTATGTATATAACACATTTTATTTATTCATTCATCCATGAGGGACATTTGGGTTGCTTCCATCTCTTGAGGGTAGTGAATAGCAATGCCATGAGCATGGGATTGAGACCCTGCTATCTCTTTGGGACCCTGCTTTCAATTCTTTTGGATATACATCCAGAAGTGGAATCACTAGATCATATGGTAGTTCTATTTTTAATTTTTTGGGGAACCTCTAAACTGTTTTCTATAGTGGTCACACTGTTTCACATCCCAACACAGTGCACAGGTTTCATTTCTCCACATACTTGACCACATTTGTTATTTTCCTTTTTTTTTTTTTTTTTGAGTTGTCATCCTAATGGGTGTGGGTGACATCTTTGTGTGGTTTTGATTTGCATTTCTCTAAAAATTAGTGATGTTGAGTGCATTTTCATATGCTTATATATTTGTATATCATCTTTGGAGAAACATCTATTCAAGTTCTGTGCCTATATTTTAATTGGATTTTTTAATTTTTCAGTTGTTGAGTTGTAGTTCTTTATATTCTAAATATTAGCTCCTTATCAGAGATATGATTTGTAATTATTTTCCCCATTCTATACGGTGTCTTTCACTCTGATTGTATTCTTTGATGCACGACAATTTTTAAATTTAAGGTAGTCTCATTTGTCTATTTTTGCTTTTCTTGCCTGTGCTTTTGTTGTCATATCCAAAACATCATTGCAAAGTCAAATGTCATGAAGCTTTCTCCTGTGTTTTCTTCTAGGAGTTTTAAAGTTTTAGATCTTATGTTAATGGGCTTTTTTCTTTTTTTTTCAGATGGGGTCTTGCTCTGTCACCCAGGCTGGAGTGCAGCCAGTGGCACGATCTTGGCTCGCTGCAACCTCTGTTCCTGGACTCAAGAGATCCTTCCATCTCAGTCTTCTGAAGAGCTGGGACCACAGGTGCACGCCATCATGTCCAGCTAATTTTTTGTACTTTTTGTAGAGACAGGGTTTTGTAATGTTTCCCAGGCTGGTCTCAACCTCTTGGACTCAAGCGATCCACCCTTCTTGGCCTCCCAAAGTGCTGGGATTACAGGAGTGAGCCACTGCACTCAGCCAAGATCTTATGTTAATGTCTTTAACCCACTTTGAGTTAATTTTTGTATACAGCGTAAGGTAAGGATCCAATTTCATTCTTTTACATGCAGATACCCAGTATTCCAATATCATTTGTTGAAGAAAGTATCCTTTGGCATTGTCTATTATTGGTACCTTTGTTGAACGTCATTTGCCCATATGTAAGATAATTTATTTCTGGGCTCTCTATTCTATTCCCTTGGTCTATTTGTCTGTCTTTATGACAGAACACATCCGTTTGATTACTGTCTCATTGTAATAATTTTTGAAATAAGAAAATGTGAGTCATCCAATTTTGTTACTCTTTTTCAAAATTGTTTTAGCCATTTAGGGTCCCTTGAGATTCCATATGAATTTTAGGATGAATTTTTCTATTTTGCAACAAATGTCATTGGAATTTTTTTCCTTTTTTTGAGACAGGGTCTTGATGTGTTGCCCCGGCTCGAGTGTAGTGGTGGAATCATGGCTCACTGCAGCCTCAACCTCCCAGGCTCAATAGATCCTCCCAGCTTAGTCTCCTGAGTAGCTGGGGCTACAGGAGTATGCCACCATACCCAGCTAATTTTTGTATTTTTTTGTAGAAATGAGTTTCACCATGTCGCCTATGTTGGTCTCAAACTCCTGGGCTCAAGAGATCCGCCCGCTTTGGCCTCCCAAAGAGCTGGGGTTACAGGTATGAGGCACTGTGTCTGGCCCCCACTGGAATTCTGATAGGGATTGTACTGAATCTGCAGATTGCTTTGGGTAGTATGAACATCTTAACAATATTGTCTTCCAATCCATGAACACAAGATGTCTTTTAATTTATTTGTGTCTTCTCTCAATTCTTTCAGCAATGTTCTATAATTTTCAGCATACAAGTGTTTTACCTCCTTGGTTAGGTTTATTCCTAAGTATTTTATTCTTTTTGATGCTATTGTAAATTGCGTTTTTCTTAATTTCCTTTTCAGATTGTTTATTGATAATGTACAGAAATGCAACTAATTTTTGTGTTGATTTTGTATCTTGCAACTTGGTGACTTCATTTATTAATTCTAATAGTTTTTTTTGTGAAATCTTTATGGTTTTCTACATATAAGATCATGTTAACTGCCAACAGAGGTAGTTTCACTTCTTTCCTTCCAATCTGGATACTTTTATTTCTTTTTCTTGTCTAATGGCTGTGGCTAGAAATTCTAATACTATGTTGAATAGAAGTGGCCAGAGTGGGCATCTTGGCCTTCTTCCTGATTTTAGAGGAAAAGCTTTCAGTCTTTCACCATTGAGTATGTTAGCTGTAGACTTTGCATAAATCGCCTTTAATAGTTGAAGTAGTTTACTTCTATCCCTGGTTTGTTGAGTGTTTTATTATGAAAGGGTGTTGAATCTTGTCAAATGTGTTTCCTACATCCATTGAAATGATTGTGTGGCTTTTGCTCTTCATTTTGTAAATGTGGTGTATTACACTGACTGAGTTTCACCAGCTGAACCATCCTTGCAGTCCAGAATAAATCTTATTTGGTCGTGCTGTATAATCTGTTTCATGTGCTATTGAATTCTGTTTGCTAGTATTTTGTGGAAGATTTTTGCACCACTATTTATCAGGGATATTGGTGTGTAGTTTTCTTTTCTTGTAGTGTCTTTCACTGTGGTATCAGGGTCATGATAGCCTCATAGATTAAGCTTAGAAGTGTTTCCTCCTCTTCAATTTTTTGGAAGACTTTGAGGAAAATAAATGTTAATTAGTCTTTACATGTTTGGTAGAATTCTCCAGTGAAGTCATCTGGTCCTGGACTTTTCTTTGTTGGGAGGTTTTTGATTATTGACTCAATCTTCTTATTTGTTATTGGTCTGCTCAGATTTTCTATTTCTTCATGATTCAATTTTGGTGGGTTGTATATTTCTAGGAATTCATCCATTCCTTCTAGATTATCCAATTTGTTGCTGTACAATTGTTCATAGTATTCACTTATACTATTCTCTTTTTATCTCTTCGGCATTAATTGTACCATCTCTTCTTTCATTTATATTTAGTTATTTCAGTCTTCTCTCTTTTTTTAAGTTAATCAGCTAAGGGTTGTCAATTTTATTGATCCTTTCAAAAAGCTACTCTTAGTTTTGTTGATTTTCTCCTACTGTTTTTCTGTTCTCTAATTTCTCTCTGCTCTAATCTTTATTATCTTCTGCTAGCTTTGGATTTAGTTTGTTCATCTTTTTCTAGTTTCCTAAGATGTAAAGTTAGGTTGTTGATTTGAGATCTTCTTTTTTAATGTACACATTTATAGCTATAAACTTCTCTTAGTGCTGCTTTTGTTGCATCTCATAAGTTTTGAAATATTGTTTCCATTCTAATTTGTCTCAAGGTATTTCCCAATTTTCTTTGTGACTTCTTCTTTGACCTATTGGTCAAAAGTAGTATGTTGTTTAATTTCTACATATTTGTAGATTTTTCCGTATTCTTTGTGCTATTGCTTTCCAGTTTAATCCATTGTGATGTCCATTTTCTTGAATTTGTTAAGACTTGTTTTGTGGTCTAACACATGGTTTATCTGGAGACCATTTTATGCGCCCTAGAAAAAAATGTATATTCTACTGTTGTTAGGGTGGGGTGCTTTGTATATATCTTTTAGGTCCAATTGATCTACCGTGTTGTTTAATTTCTTTATTTCCTTATTGATCTTCTGCTGGTTGTTCTCTCCATTTTTTTTTAAGTGGGGTATTGAAGTCTCCTACTATTATGTGGCTATCTAATTCTATCTCCAATTCTGTCAAAGTTTACTTCATATATTTAAGTGCTCTGAGGTTTGGTGCATAAATATTAATAATTGTTATATTTTCTTAGAGCATTGACTTCTCCATCACTATATAATGTCCTTCTTTTCCTATCCCTTTTGCTGGTACTCCCTTTTTGGTTTTGGTTTTGTTTTGTTTTGAGATGGAGTCTCGCTCTGTTGACTAGGCTGGGGTGCAGTGGCACGATCTTGGCTCACTGCAACCTCTGCCTCCTGGGTTCAAGCAATTCTCATGCCTCAGCCTCCAAAGTAGCTGGGACTACAGGTGTCTGCCACCATGCCTGGCTAATTTTTTAATATTTTTAGTAAAGATGGGGTTTTGCCATGTTGGCCAGGCTGGTCTCGAACTCCTGACTTCAGGTGATCGGCCTGCCTTGTCCTCCCAATGGCTGGGGTTATAGGCGTAAGCCACCGCACCCAGCCCCCTTCTTAGTTTTACAATAACTTTGGCGCACCCAGCCCCCTTCTTAGTTTTACAATAACTTTGGTGCTGTAGCTTCTCAACTGAACTTTAGCATCCCCACAGAGGTATTCTGGTCGGTATACTGCTATTAACTTGGTGACTCTGTGGGAGAAGGAGGGCCTGTAGCTTCTTAGTCCACTATCTTGCTGACTGGTCCTCCGCTTTGAAGGACTCATGATTAGGTTGGGTCCACTTGGATAATCCAGGTTAATCTCCCCATTTAAAAGTTCTTAACCTTAATCATGTCTGCAAGTCCTCTTTGCCATGGAAGGCAAATATTTACCATTTTTGAGGATTGGAACATGGACATTTTGAGGGGACCCTTACTGTCTACTATACATGGTTTCTCCAAAGGATTTTCACATATATTAACTCATTTAATATCAACAATGTGGTGGAATAGAAATTACAGTACTTTTCCTTACAGGAAGACTAATAGATTTGTTTTTTGCCCCAGGATTATACTAGTATTAGGGCCTTTACAAATGGATCTCATCATACCTCTCTAGCTTCATTTCACACAACTCCCTCCACCTAATTTCTAGTCGCAGTCACTCCTCACACGTCATGCCCCTTCACAATTCAGTCACCAAGCAGTCAGGTAGAGAGGTCTCACTGAACTTTGTCATATCCTCTATTATCATACATATACACTAGTGTATAGTGTTTTGCTACACATTAGCCACACATCATATGTGTACACTGCTAACAAATGGGGTTTTAGGATAGAAATGACTCTAATTGCCTAGTTTTGCTTGAGAAGTGGTATAACAGACAACGGGAAACTGAACTGAGGGTGAGACATACATCTCTCTATGTAGAACTTATAAAAAGAATGGTTTAGACACAAGTCTACAAGGTGTTGCACAACTTATAGACTCCTTAGCCAGGTAAGGATCATAAAATGGAATCTGAGAGGAAAAAGCTTTTGTAAGAGTAGGGAAGAGTTTCTTTAGAGGGAGTGGTAGTCAGGCTGTAAATCTCCAACCTGGGGAGGAGTGGGAGATTGCCGCCTTCCAACATCAGGCCTAGTGACGGGGCATTAAGTGTACCTTTGAAGAGTGTTTCCTTTAGTTGGAGACAGAGATGACTGGTGCCTGACTCATGCCTGAGAAAATTAAATGGACTGTTACCCTGGGGGCTGACTCATGGCCAGGGATTCCAGAAAACACAAAAATGCTTGCCTCTCTGATGGTGAACCAGAAAGGTGCTGCTACACTGAGATCGACTAGCACTCTCAGGGACTGTCAAAGCAAGGGATTTTTCCCATGGAGCATGTGGATGACCCGGTGAAACCCTATCATGAGGTTGTCTTAAATCTTGGCCAAGATCACTGCCGGAGAGGTGAGACTGCCTACCAGAAGAGGATAGATACCCAGGGGCTGAGAAAGCAAGAACGTGGTATAGTGTTAGAATAAGAACCCTCAATCCATCATACCTCTCTGCCACCTTTCCCCTCTGCACCTAACTTTGCTACTGCTTCCATCAAGAAGTGGAATATATTGTCTTATACCTTGAGTCTTCCTGGCCTTGTGACTTTTATGATCAATAACTGCAGCAAAAATGACATTGTGAAAACTGAGGAAGAGAACTGGTATGGGTATTTCGTTTGAGAATATGCCCTCGGCATGAGATCAATGGGTCAAAGTGTATGTGTTCAACTTTAGCAGATACTGCTAAACACTTTTACAAAGTGGTTGTACTAAACATATTCCCTGTAGCAGTACAAGAGTTCTATTTGAACTGCATCTCCTCAACAATTTAGTATTTTCTATTGTTTTTCACTTTAGCTATTCTGGTAGGTGGGGTATCCAGTGTGGTTTTAATTTGCATTTCCCTGATGACTAAAGATGTTAAGCACCTTTTCAGATGTTTATTGGCCATTTGGATATCCTCTTTTATGAAGTGACTGTTTAAGTGTTTTGCTCATTTTTCTATTGAGTTGATGGGTCTTTTCTTATTAATTTGCAGGTGTTTGCTTTATACTCTGCATATGAATCCCTTGTTGGACCTACATGCTGCAGATATCTTCTACTACTCTGGAAGTAACTTTTTCACTCTTAATAGAGTCTTGCTTTAGAAAAAACAAAAACTTCAGTCAGAGGGCAATTAGAGGGGCTGCTGAATGGGAATAGTTCAATTCTCTCAATTCTCCTGTCCCATTAGCACAATTACCCACTGGATTTTTTTTTTGTCTTTTGGAAAATCTCAGTGCTGGCTGAACGAGCTATAGTTTTGCTATTACAACACAAATAATAATTCCCCAACTGCTCAGTATTTTCTTCTATCTTTAGTTAATCTGAGTGTCTATCACCTATGCTTTCTTACTTAACCTTTTTGAGCTCAGTTTTGTTATTGGTACAAAAATGAATAATGTACTTACCTCATATGGTTGTTGTGAGAATCAAGTAAGTTAATGTATGAAAAGTGTTTAAAACAGTACCCGGCACAGCATAAACTACTACTATTATATTCCAAAATGCTTTTCCTTTGGAAGACTACATAGACTGTGCAGTTTTCTGTGTCCTCCTTCAAGATTCATTTCTTAGAAATTAAAAACAGGACACCATTTTTTAATCTAAATGGCAAAGATTAAGGAAGCAATAATATTCAGTGCTGCTGAAGCTGCAGTGAGACCAGTACGCTCATACACTGAGTTATTAGAAACTGCTGAAATCTTTCCAAAGAGCAATTAAGTAATGCTTAACAAAAGCCTTTGATGCAACAATTACACAAGGTAGTCCAAGACTTTTCCATAAACCAGTCATCACTATGCTATTTATTATAACACATATAGAATAAAAAACTAAATGCCCTCAAATAACAAATGAAAGTATGGTGATCTCTAAGCTGGATTGCCCAGCCATTAGAAATATGTTCAAATAATTTTTAATGGAAAGAGAAAATTCTTACACTCTGGAAAAGCTTCTCAGAGGAAGTGTTATTGAGCTGGTTTTTTAAGGATCAGTAAGGGAGTAGAAAAGAATTCCAGCCATAATGGATGGGTATATAAAGGAAAGGAAGCATTCAAGAGTTGGATAAGATTATACTCACCCATATGAGATAGTATATGTATTTTTTAGCTTCAAGTCTGGGCAATGAGGTAAAAAGGTTCCTCAAGGTTCTTTATTCTAGAATTCTATGACAATGTGTTGAGAATCTTGTCATGCAATAAGGTGTTTGCCACGTATTATTCCAAATGCAAATAGCTAAACAAGATCAGAAGAATTTGAAAAATTTGCCAAAACCCCAGTCTCATACCAGATTCGCTACATGGGCAAGAAGATATGTGATACTTACATTAATTCCTACAAGAATCTGAAAGTGAAGGTGATACAAACAGGAAGCAGGGAAATACTAGGTAGAAAAGGGTGTGGTCCCTGGTGAGGGCTCCACCCTCAAGCTTGGACCAGAGGCCTTAAATGAGAACTTCACATCCCTGTTTTCCCACCCAAATGTTGCCTTTTCCAAAACCACCCTGGCCTGTCCCACCCCCTACCCTGTACCCATAAAACCCCCAAGCTCCACTGGCAGGAGAGCAGAGCGGAGCGGCAGAGGAGGAGAGAAGAGAAGCAGCTGGAGAAAAGCAGCTTGACTTCAGAGGGATGGCTTGATGGCAGGACTTCAGAGAAGAGTTTGGCCAGGCATGGCCAAACTCCAGGGGAAGATTATCTGCTCACTCCATCCCTCTCCAGCTCCCCTTCCCACTGAGAGCCACTTCCATCTCTCAATAAAATTATCCGCATACACCACCCTTCAACTGGTTCTTGTGACCTGATTCTTCCTGGATGACAGACAAGAACTTGAGTACCAAGAGGGAAGAGTATAAAAGGCTGTGACCCTCACCCTCCACTGAGGTGGTGAACACTTAGCCATCTGCGAACAGCAAACGCTAAAAGAGCACTGATTGTAACACATGCCCTCTGGGGCTCTGGGGGTCACAGACACCCCCTCCCGGAAGGCAGAGCTAAAAGAGCATTGTAACATGCTTGGACTCTGCCGCGAGGCCTGCTCAAAGCTTGATCCTACCAGAGAGGAGTGACCAGATGGTTCCAGCATTTGTTCGCCCCGGCTCCTGCACCTGCTCACCTGTGTGCTTCCGCTTCTTGAGGGGTTCAGAGCTTTGGGCTGAGTAAATGAGCTACCCCTTCACAAGTCCTGTGAAGAGGTCAAGGGAAATATCCCGTCTTAAAGGTATCAAAAAATTCCCTTGAGTATCCACTGTTACTTTTATGTTATACTAAAATTCCATTTTACTCTTTCAGTTCATTGTTAATAAAGTAGTTTATAAAGAGAAGAAATAAGATTTGAAATAATGAGGAGGGGGTGGAAGGGAAAGAAGGGTGATTCCCAGAGATTATTTTGTTTACTTTGAGCATGTTTTTGATTCATAGAAAAAACAAATTTGATTACAGACTTTAGAAAAAACCTAAAATTAGTTTTGTATGTGTATTTTTAATAGCATTAAATACATCTGTAATTATCTCAGATAACAAGAATATTTTGGTGTACATCCTTCTAATCTTTCTTCCTAGATTTTTATTTTATTTTATTTCTGAGATGGAGTCTTACTCTGTTGCCCAGACTGGAGTACAGTGGTGCAATCTCAACTCACTGCAACCTTTGCCTCCTGGGTTCAAGTGATTCTCGTGCCTCAGCCAGCCAACTGAGTAGCTGGGACTACAGGCATGTACCACTACACCCGGCTAATTTTTGTATTTTTTAGTAGAGAAGGGTTTCACCATGTTGGCCAGACTGGTCTCGAACTCTTGACCTCAAGTGATCTGCCTGCCCCGGACTTCCAAAGTGCTAGGATTACAGGCATGAGCCACCGTGCCCGGCCTTCTTCCTAGATTTTTCTAGGATGTAAGCACCTGACTTGAAGCAGCAAAAAGACAATACTAATTATAACAATTTCATTGAGTTTAAAATGTGTTAAAACACACTTAAACAAATTATGTACAAAATATTGCAAATTTATTTATTTTTATTTTTTAAAGATAGGGTCTCACTCTGCTGCCCAGATTGGAGTACAGGGGTACAATCATAGTTCACTGCTGCCTTGAACTCCTGGGCTTAAGCAATCCTCTTGCCTTAGCCTCCTGGGTAGCTGGGACTACAAGCACACACCACTACACCTGGTTAATTTTAAATTTTTTTGTAGTGATGGGGGTCTTACTATGTTGACCAGGCTGGTCTCAAACTACTGGCCTCATGCAATCCTCCTGCTTCAACCACCTAAAGTGCTGGGATTATAGGCATAAGCCACTGTGCCTGGCCCATATCCCAAATTTATATCAGTAATTAGCTTGGGGAAGATAGGAGGAGCTCAGAGTTGCTGAGGAGATAGTGGGGGCAAAAGAATACTGGGCGTGGTGGTGCACGCCTGTAGTCCCAGCTACTCAGGAAGCTGAGGCAGGGGAATCACTTGAACCCAGGAGGCGGAAGCTGCAGTGAGCCGAGGTTGTACCACTGCACTCCAGCCTGGCCACAGAGCGAGATTCCTTCTAAAAAAAATAAAAAAATTTTAGCTTTATGTCTAATGTTGTAATTTTTATTTATTTTTATTATTACTTTTTAAATTGAGACAGAGTTTCTGTCACCCAGGTTGGAGTGCAGTGGCGCAATTATGGCTCCCTGTAGCCTCCAACTCCCATGCTCAAACAATCCTCCCACCTCAGCTTCCTGAGTGGCTGGGACTACAGGTGTACACACCACATTTGGCTAATTTTTTATTTTTTGTAGAGACGGGGTCTTGCTGTGCTGCCCAGGCTGGTCTCAAACTCCTGGCCTTAGGTGATTCTCCCACCTTGGCTTCCCAAAGTGCTGGGATCATAAACATGAGCTACCACATCTGGCCTAATGTTGTAATTTTTAAAAAGGAATAGTCAGTGTATTATTTAATATTAATAAAAATTTAAAAATCCAAACTTAAAAAAAGAGTTGCCATATTTATAAAATAAATTTTTGGCTGGGTGTGGTGGCTTGCACCTGTAATCTCACACTTTGGAAGGCTGAGGTGAGAAGATCACTTGCGCTCAGGAGTTCAAACCCATTATGGACAACATAGGACATAGTCTGGATTCATCTCTGCAAAAAATTAAAATAAAAAAAAAAAGTAGCCGGGTGTAGTAGTGCAAGTCTGTAGTCCCAGCTACTTGGGGGCTGAGGCGGGAGGATGACTTGAGCTGAGGAAGTTGAAGCTGCAGTAAGCTATGACTGTGCCACCGCACTCCAGCCTGGGCAATAGGGTAAGACCCTGTCTCAAAAAAATAAAAAATAAATAAAAATAAATCTTGTCTAGATTCACGATTAGATCTACAAAAAAAAATTTTTTTTTTGAAGAGGGCAGTTATGATAAATGGAGAGTGAAGTCTTGTCAGAGAAAATAATTTCAAGCCTCGCCCTGCCACTCCTTCACTTCTTCAATAATTTCCTGGCTCATTAGTTTCAAAAGCATTAATATTGTTTTGCATGATTGAAAAATGCTGGAAACATTCCAGTTCTCAGAAATTCAGGTAGCCAAACTGGTTTTTCATTTTGTATTTTCCTCCAGGAATATGGTGCTGATTATCACCTTCCAGTCATTCTTAAAAGAAACAATGATTAGAGTCAAACAACTTAATTCAATGAATACATATTGAATGCTTAAGTATTTTTAAAATATCAAGAACCACTTGGAGTTATAAAAACAGATACTCCATAAAGGAGATTAAATAATTAAGCCACATAATTGTGTTTTCCTTTTTTTTTCAAGATGGAGTCTTGCTCTGTCACCCAGGCTGGAGTGCGGTGGCACGCTCTCTGCTTACTGAAACCTCTGCCTCCTGGGTTCAAGTGATTCTCACGCCTCAGCCTCCTGAATAGCTGGGACTACAGGCATGCGCCACCATGCCCGGCTAAGAGATGGGGTTTCACTGTGTTGGCCGGGCTGGTCTTGAACTCCTGACCTCGTGATCTGCCCGCCTCGGCCTCCCAAAGTGTTAGGATTACAGGCATAAGCCACCTCGTCCGGCTGTGTTTTCATTTTTAAAGCACACCACAATTCACCTGAGATCTGGTGGCTAGTATAGATCATTCTCATTGTGATAGCACTGGGAACATTACATAAAACTTCAGGAAGATCAGATGATTGGGCCCTAGTATACCCACTGTGCCTAACAGGCAGCAGCTGTTCATATCACAGGTATGCGGCAAAGTTTAAAACATCATTTCACATGCTTTTTCTCTATACTAGTCCTTTATCTAATTGGGGCGGGGCTGCTATTTCTGCAGGCAGCATCCTATGTGTACAGCAGCTAGAAACAGGAAAGATATATGTGAGAAACAGATAACTCAAGTAATGAGAAAAGCTAATAATAGAATGACCTGCTGTATCAATTCTTTGGTCTCTTGGTGGCTCCATTTAATGAGTTTTCAACATGCTACTCCTGCAAGTCTTCTTCAGGAGCTGCCCCAAGCCACATATATCTGCTCTCTTCTATCATGGAACAGTATGATAAGAAACAGTACACCTTTATGCTGCTAGGTAGGCAGTTTTATTATGCTGTTACATAGAGCTCTTTCCATGAAAAGTGATTTTAACATGAACTGCCCATTCTGCAAAGAGGAAAAATATGTTGAATTAGTTAAATATCCAATTCAAAAGATGTTACAGTAAAATACATGTAAGACTTAACAAAAAAAAAAAAAAAGGACAGAGACACAATTTCTTATCCTCAATTCTCATCTCCAAAAAGCTATGAAAACCAGTTTATTTACAAAGCTTGGTGACAAAACCTGACCAAACTTGATCTGAGGCTCTTTATGATCTTTAGTTATACTTAGTGGGGATGTTCATAAATCACCACAAAAATAGGAGTATATTTGATAATGAGCTGCCATCCCAGACTTTTTTTTAGTAGTTTTGAGTGAAATATTTTACACAGATCCTATTAGTTTTTGAATAGCTCAAAAATTTTGATGCAAAACACAGCTAGACCTAAGTTTTCAAATAAAGGACTGCAAAGCAGTACTTCCCCAAACTGTTAATGATACAGTGATTCTACTAAATTCAAAGACAGTCCCAATAAATATTTTTGTCCCCTTGTATGTCATGAGGATAAATCTCCAGGGAAAAAAAGGGCATGTCAGAACGATGTGCAGGCTGTGTGAAAACTGACACATGATTTTATAAATGATGTAGCTGTAAGACACTGTGTCATTACCAGAAGTTATTCATCCATAAAGATAACATATTGTGTGGTTGCTAATAGTTATCTCCCTAAAACCGAAAAGTCCCATTCTTTTCAAGTGCTTAGATACAGTGCTTTAGGACATTCTTATGTAGTTCTAGTGCTTAGAATATTCTTTTTTTTTTTTTTTTTTTTTTTTTTTTTTTTTTTTTTTGAGATGGAGTCTAGATGGAGTCTCCCTCTGTTGCCCAGGCTGGAGTACAGTGGTGCAATCTTGGCTCACTGCAACCTCCACATCCCAGGTTCCAGCGATTCTCCTGCCTCAGCCTCCTGAGTGGCTGGGAATACAGGCACGCACCACCACACCTAATTTTTTGTATTTTTAGTAGAGACGGTGTTTCACCATGTTGGCCAGGCTGGTCTCGAACTCCTGACCTCAAGTGATCCACCCGCCTCGGCCTTCCAAAATGCTGGGATTACAGGCATGAGCCAGTGCGCCCGGCCCAGGATATTCTTATTCAGTGCTTCTCAATTTGGTTAAGCATTAGAATCTCCCAGAGAGCTTTGTAAAAATACCCATGCATGGGCCTCATTGTCCAACATTCTGACTAACTTGGTCTAGAAAGGGGCCCTGGCAACAATGTTTTAAAAACTCCTTACATGATGATTCAATGTACAGTCAGAGCTTTAAAAAGTCTCAATATCCAGGCTGTACCTTAGATCAGATAAATCAGAATTTTGCAGTGTGAAACCCAGACATCAGTACTTTTTTAAAAACATGCCCTGGTGGCTGGGCACAGTGGCTCACATCTTGTAATAGATCTTTGGGAGGCTGAGATGGGCAGATCA